>NC_000012.12:39126794-39278309 GCF_000001405.40 Homo sapiens
GCCTCCAACAGAGATTTACCCACATATTTATTGACAGCAAGCCAGTGATAAGCATTGTTTCTGTAGATTAAAGATTAACTAAAAGTATTCCTTATGGGAAATAAAGGGATGGGCCAAAGTAAAGGGATGGGCTCTGGCTAGATATCTGCAGCAGGAGCATGTCCTTAAGGCACAGATCCTTCATGCTATTGTTTGTGGTTTAAGAACAACTTTAAGTGGTTTTCCAGGTGTTCCTTGCCTTCATTCCAATAAACTCACAACTTTCCAGTGTGGGCGTCATGGCCATCACAAACATGTCACAGTGCTGCAGAGATTTTGTTTATGGCCAGTTTTGGGGCCACTTTATGGCTAGATTTTAGGGGCCTGTTCCCAACAAATTAGCAATTCATCAAAAATGGTTGTCATTCAATCCATTACACATAGTTTATTGGCAAGGAAATTGTTAGACTTTGCTAAACAATTTGCTGAAAAAAAATTTACCTGAGCCATTCTCTACTTTATGAGTTGGTTACCCATATCAGTAAAGAAATTACGTTAATTTGGAATTATTTTTCACATTGTACCCATATTGAGTCCAGTGTAAAAGTTGCTACGTGATGGTTTTCCCTTCCCAGGACTATTTTTTACCACCTTCTGGTAATTGCTACCATTTTCTTTGGTAATAATGTCCCCTCCCTACACCAATCATGTTATTCTAGTGGAGACGGCCAATAATATTCTGCCCTTTCCCACCCCCTTGTCATAAAATGGGTCCATTTGTCAGCACAGAGCAATCCTGATATGCAATGTTATGACTCAGCTGGATTAGTCACCAGCCTTCCTTGGGATTCTCTGGCAGCTACAGGCTGGCATAAGGCTGTCCTTCTGGACCATGATCTCTGACATGCGGAGAGGCCCATGAAGACACAGCCTACAAACAAAGAAAATAAGAGTGATAACAAGAGTAACATTTCAGCTCTCATTTCGAGTTGCTGAGATCCAGGTCGTTGTCCTCAACCCTGTAAGTTTCCTTTTTTGCTGTGAGCCAGCCTATTGTGCCTCTTTTTTAAAAATACCATTTTCTGCTTAGGCTAGTATATTTTGGATTTCTGACAGTAGCAATTAAATATTTTCCTGAAGGGATTTATTAAGGAAGCAGCAGAGGAAGCATTTTCTCAGGTTTACGTTCTGCAGTCTGCCAACACACTGTGCCTTTTAATTTCAGCTCTATAGAAAGAGTCCCTATAAGACATATGTCCTTTTCCCATTCACCGTAAAGATTCACAGGGTTTTATAGTTTGAGGAATATAGGTTAAGATCAAAATAGGGGCAATGACTTCAAAAGCGAATAGCTATATTCCAATCAATGCATAAAAAAGAAGTGGGGGATGAAGATTTATATTGCAAACAGTGTCTAAAGTTTACAAAATTATTTAACAAATGATTTCTTTAAATAGTGAGTTTCTGTTGGGGTATTTAAAATGTACATTGGCTAATTCAAACTTGTGAGGACTATTTTGTACACATTAAACAAGGAAGACCACCTGTGAATTGCTAAAGAAGAGCATCGGCCTTTCTTTAGATCATGCACAGGTAAAACAATGTTTTATAGATTCTAAAATCTCTGGCCATGATCCTACAACCAGAAGTAAAACAAAGGCAGAGATGTGACAATGACATATTTTAAGCCGTTTATTTAAGCCAATAAATCACTGGTGTATTTATCCTATAAATATACCATATAAAAATTACTATACTTACTAACCCTATAAATCAGTAGTAAATCTCATTCATATCTTATCCAACTACCAGTACTATTCTTCTAAGCAGCCCAAGAAATAAGTATAAGGTAGTTTCAGTTCACCTATAAAACCAGAAATGGCCCCTGAGGGCTGCACCTGGAAGCCTTGCACACTTCTCATTGTTTGGGCCTTGTTTCCCCGCTGAACCATATCCTTTACCTTATTAAAGCATCACATGAATATACTCTGAGTCTTGTGAGTCCTTTGCTCTTACTTGTTACTTTCTTTTGAGTTTAATTAATATCAATCTCTTCATGTGTACCTCTTATAACGGAGGCTTAAACATCTCACAAATTGTGAATTTTCCCTATACATAATTAGTCCTCTGTAAAACAAGATATTAAGGATATAACATAAGCATATAACAAAGTCAGAGGCAGCACCAACAATTAATTAAATTTGAAACATTTTTTGATATTTTCCTGTTTTTCTAAATTAATGTACATGTCCTTTCTTTATCAAAAAAAAAAGAAGAAGAAAAGAAAGTAAATTAGGGAGATGATTAAGTAATAGGGATAGTACAGGACACCCAGAGGTTAGCTACTCTGAAGACTTCTTCTGCCATAGGCTGTTACTACAGATAAATCAAAATTAGTCATTTACCATTAACACATTTGCGTATTTCAGTGTTACCAGACATTCCCCATAACCAGCTCTTCCAACATTTGTCCTGGAATAAGATGTGCTCAGCGTCACCCATGTGAGGTACAGGCTTGAGCTAATAATTCTGTGTGTTCAATATCCCCAATTCTACCCACTACATCTGTAGACAGGTGAGATCAAGGTTAACACTAAGAGAACTTTAAGTGAAATCAAGGTTAACATTAAGAGAACTTTAGGTGAGACCAAAGTTAACACAAAGAGAATTTTAAAGAGTAATCACAAAAAGGCACTCTAAAGCTGGGCATGGGAATAAGAGACAAAGGATTCTCTGACTCCAGTGGTTGCAAATCTGGCTAAGCTTTAAAAAAAAAACATCAGGGAGATTTTTTTAAATGCTGGTGGAAAAAAAGACAATAGTAAAAATTTTAAAAAAATAGCTTAATGTTGATTGTCAGGTCACTGCTTCTAGCTGTACAGGTCACAACTCCAAGGGCCACACACTGCATACACTTTCGATGTGAATGGAGTCCCATGGAGCTGTGCAACACAGCAGTCCTGCTGGGCCCTACTATACAATTTCTGGAGATGGTGATAGGGCTTTTATGCTTTTAAAAACATGATTCTAACACACAGCCAGAGTTGAGAACTAATGGTCTAAACTGTTTTTTCCATATGCTAATTATATGCCTTTGAGACTCATGTTGAGATTGTTATTGTTTTCAATATCTGCCTGCTGAGCAGATATTTCTTCTCCATTAATACCCTTAGGAATTTATCTTTTTTATATATTTAACAATAATCTTTCCCCTGTTGTGAAAGAACATTTGTTTTTATTCCTACTTTTATTTACCTTGCTCCATCATATCTAAAGTTTGAAGAAACTTGTTGAATCACACACTTTTATGTAATTATATAATTTCACTTAAATAATAATGTAATTTTTACATAGATATAGATGTTATTTTTTCCAGATACTCTGCACATTTCAACAGTTCTCTTTAGGAAATAAACAAAACTTGTATCAAGAAAATTATCTTCTAAGCATTATATGGCACATATATTTTAAACACCACTATAATCTGCTTTAAAAAAAAAGCCATTAATAAAAAGGTCAAATCATGTGTTAGTGGGTAATCTGGGTTGTTCTGTTTTGCTTTCTGGGCCTCACAACCTTCTTGGGAGACCTGCTGTGTCTCCATGCCATGAGTGGCTGGTGGGGCTACTCATTACAGGACTAGGACCATCTCCTGCCACAAACCCCCGGCCTCATTGTCACCATAGGGTAGGTGAGGATGTGACTTGGTTAAGGCTAATTTGAACCTCAGGACAGAAAGCAACTGGAGTTGGGTTAACCGATGAGAATGCCCTACCGATAGTTCAGTAATTCCCTGACCTACCCTAGGTAACCATATTTTCTTTTTATTCTATGAGTAAACAAATTGCTTTTTGCCTAAGTTAGCCAGAATTGGTTTCTGTGATTTGCAACTAAAGGATACTACAATTAGAGAAATTGGTACCAGTGTAGAATTCAGGCGAAGGAATCCTAAGCATATTTGCAGTATTTGCATTTACTTATTAAGTTGAGGTAAGTCCAATGAAAATAAAAATCTACTTCAAATTCCAGGAAGGGAAACTGGTAGCCATTGATTGCTACAAACTGCAAAACAACAAGTCAAGTTTTCAACTGCAGTCATCTCTGATGGTGAAGCTCTGGCAGGACAATTAGCTGCTGCCATTTACCAAAATAAAGTGGATAGGAAGATTTTTAGACTGTTGGGGAAAATAGTGGCTCTGAACAATGTAAAGGAACTTAACGAAAAGAAAATTAAAAGTTCCCATTTTAAAGCCCTCCCTTCAAGGTATGGAATCAAACTCAGGACCTTTTAATAACCTGATGCAAGTCTCATATTGATGTCCTTTAAGACTGAGATTATAGAAAGTCAAACACAAAAATTTATGCTGTGGATTTCCAGACTGACCCAGATAAACTGACACCATCTCAACAGACCACTTTTGTAAACATTAAAACACTAGTCAGAAAAAACAGTAAGATATTAACAAGTTTAACATTGATATCTGAGATGTATTGGAAGAAACAGGGAATTACAGAAACACAAATCTCTCAGAAACACCATTAAGTTTTCTTTACCTGAGGTTATCTTGGCCCTCTTGCAGGAGAAACACAATTGGCCCCCCATATTCATGGGCTCTCAATCCGTAGATTCAACCAACCAAGGATTGCAAATATTCAGAAAAAAAAAATCCACAATGTTCCAAGAAGCAAAGTTAGAATTTTCCACCGCACCTAAGTTGAATCCATGAAAATGAAGTAATGTATAAGCACTGTATTCGGTATTATAAGTAATCTAGAAATGTTTTAAAGCATATGGCAGCAAGGCACAGTGGCTCACTCCTGTAATCCCAGCAATTTGGGAGGCTGAAGAGGGAGGATCACTTGAGGCCAGGAGCTCAAAACCTGATAGGCAACATAGCAAGGCCCTGTCTCTACAAAAAATTTAAAAATTAGCCAGTTGTGGTGGTGCACACCTGTGGTCCCAGCTACTTGAGAGGCTGAGGTGGGAGGATTACTTGAGCCCAGGAGGTTGAGGCAGCAGTGAGCTGTGATTGCACCACTGCACTCCAGCCTGGGCAACAGAGCAAGACCTTGTCTCAAAAAAATGAATAAATAAAATTAAAAAATTAAGGATACAGTAGAATGTACATAGGCTATATATAAATACTACACCATTTTATATAAGGGACTTGAGCATCTGTGGATTGTGGTACCCATGGGGGTCTTGGAACCAATCCCTCAGAGATATTGAGGGATGACTGCATATACAACTCATTTATGACCTCCTCTCACTGTTGCTCTAGTACCCAGGATAATAACTCAGCATGGCATGGGTAATACACCTACTTTGAAGAGTGGAATGCTAGATTTATTGTGCATCTCACCCACTTCTCTCCTCATTCTTTGCCCATTAGAACTCAAATCAATCTCCATTCTTGCTGCATAAAGACACTTGGGAGAAAACACCAGTCTTGGGAGAAAACATCAGTCTTTTAAATATTGATTACTGACTGTGATCTCCAGATCAGCAATCTATTCAGCAAGTGTATGAAATGCAAAAGGCTTTCTAGTTTCAGCAATTTTCACTGGAGCCCAAAATGACTGAAATCAGGTGGCATCATCAACATTAATAGGCACTGGGACACATGAGGTACAGAAAAACTTACTACATGAAAAGATCTCTGATTCTGGCTAAAATATGAAGTTCCAGGAATGAAACCAATAAGCAATCACTAAGGTAATCTCTGATTTGTAAAACAGAAAAAAAGAATCCAAATCTAGTGAACACCAGCATGATAAAGTTACGCTGCTCAAACATTGCCTCTCAAACAGTTCCAGACCCTGAGTCAGTTCACTCCCAGCAGCCTTTAAGTGAAAGGGGCTGGGTACCATTGAGAGAAAATGCCAAATTAATATTATTTTGTATTCTTGAATCTTACTCCTAACCTTCTCCAAAAATATACATGGCTATTTATCTGGGTAACTGTGTCTTGGGAATAGGGAAACATACCAAACTCTTTTTTTAAATGATTGAATACAGGCATTAAAATAGCACTAATGTCTGGGAATCCACACTGCCACTGTATCCCAATGGACAGAGTGGAGGCTATGGAATCCATATGATAAATGTTACTCTGTCCTGAGTTTGCCTCACAGTAGTTTAAGGAATAACTTAATCCCATTCATTGATTATTGCCCTAGTTCCTAATTGTAAAGCTTGAGTGATATCTTCAGCAATTAACAGTACCTCTACATTCACTCTTTGACCATGTAGCAAAGCCTGTTTTCAGAGGAAAAGCCATACTGAAGCCACTATCAATTCTCCTGACAATCATAAGAGCAAACAAAAAGCCACAACTACATGACTTGGGAAATTGCATATAATCATGTCATTATAAATACTTAAAAGATGCACCCATTGCAATTTATATTATACCCTCCATTAATTATCCAATTTAACACACACAGAAGATACATGGGTATGTGAAAATGGCACCAAATTGTTATAAGTGAAATTCAGTACCATTGAGTGGTGACTCCAATTGCTAATGTAGTCTCATTACTGTTGTAAATTAACATATTACCTGGTAATTGACAGGCAGTTACTACTTTATAGAATGCATACTTCTCCTTTTGAATAAATATTAAATAACAAAATAACAAAAGTTTGCTTTTACCTGCCAGAGGCTGTAGTATGTTCTTGCACACATACACACACATACAAATATAGATATAGATATAGATATATACACAAACATATTTTATATTTCAGCTATATAACCTACTCATAACTGGGTTCTATTTGATCCTCATAGCCACGTGTGGTGCCAGCTTAGATAGGACTTGAAAGCTGGTCCTTTCCAAGTTACCATATTGCCTACTCTGTCAGCTGTGTTTACGTACTTGCTTCATGGAAGAGAGTTTAATTGTGACTCCTGAGAAATATACAGTCAGGGACTGTACTGTGAAAGCCAAGGGCTCTCCTTCTATGACTTTGCTTGATGATACAGATTAATGGAAGACTATAGCAATTCTGCAATCAAGGAACCCTGCCCAGTTGAACTCCTAGCTGAAGTCCAAGGCAATGTTAGAAGGAGTAGTAGAGAAAGAGAGTGATTAATTACATCTAATATCTCATAAGCAGTTACAGAAACAAAATCTGTAGCCTGCATCTCTTGGTTTGCTTTGTATTTAGCACATAGAGTATCTTATAGTTTGGTTTTCATTACAGAGTGAACTCTACTACACTGATTCTGATTGAACAACATGCTAACATATTTCTCAAAGCAAGCCAAAATAGTCTATCAGATTTTTGGTTTCAAAGTAGCACTCCAGCAACTGTATGAAAAATAGATTGAAGGGCCGGGCGCAGTGGCTTACGCCTGCAATCCCAGCACTTTGGAAGGCCGAGGTGGGCAGATCACGAGGTCAGATCGAAACCATCCTGGCTAACACAGTGAAACCCCATCTCTACTTAAAAAAATACAAAAAATTAGCCAGGCGTGGTGGCGCGCGCCTGTAGTCCCAGCTACTCAGGAGGCTGAGGCAGGAGAATGGCGTGAACCCGGGAGGCGGAGCTTGCAGTGAGCCGAGATCGCGCCACTGCACTCCAGCCTGGGTGACAGAGCAAGACTCCGTCTCAAAAAAAAAAAAAAAAAAAAAGAAAGAAAGGAAAAATAGATTGAAGCCGCGCGTAGTCCCAGCACTTTGGCAGGCTGAGGCAGGTGAATCACCTGAGGTCGGGAGTTCGAGACCAGCCTAGCCAACATGGCAAAACCCCGTCTCTACCAAAACTAAAAAAATTAGCAGGGCATGGTGGCAGGCATCTGTAATCCCAGCTACTCGGGAGGCTGAGGCGGGAGAATCGCTTGAACCTGGGAGGTGGAGGTTGCAGTGAGCCGAGATCACGCCAGTGCACTCCAGCCTGGGTGACAGAGCAAGACTCCATCTCAAAAAGAAAAAAAAAAAAAAGACCGAAGACAAAAAGCTACAGGTAAAAAGAACAATCTGGAAGCTATTACACGAGTGTAGAAAGAAGTTTTGAGGCCTAAATCATGGGGAATGAAATGGAGGTTCAGGAAAGGACCAGATATTTGCTATATGAAATAACTACTGTGAATTATCTTATTAAAAGTTTGAATGTAGTGAATAAACTACATCTAACTTCTCAATAGCATTGTTTCAAAGATAATCATCAAAATCCTCTATTGACACTTCCTTTTTAAAGGATTTAGCTATCTAGAAACTTCATTGATCTGAAACTAGTTCGTAATTTTTAAGTTACAAGTTTTTGTTTTTTTGGTTTTTGTTTTTTTTTTTGAGACAGAGTCTTGCTGTGTTGCCCAGGCTAGAGTGCAGTGGCACGATCTCGGCTCACTGCAAGCTCCGCCTCCCGGGTGCAAGCCATTCTTCTGCCTCAGCCTCCCGAGTAGCTGGGACTGCCGGCGCGCGCCACCACGCCTGGCTAATTTTTTGTATTTTTAGTAGAGACGGGGTTTCACCGTGGTCTCAATGGCCTGACCTCGTGATCCGCCCACCTCGGCCTCCCAAAGTGCTGGGATTATAGGCGTGAGCCACCGCGCCCTGCCACAAGTAATTTTTCAGAAGGCTTCTGAGTGGCCAAATTAAGTGTCACAAGGTTCACTTAGTGGTCTCACTTAGAGCCTGCTAACTCTTTTACAGACCCCTTCCCATCTTTTTTTTTTTTTTTTTAGAATTGCAACTATCTGGATTCCATGTCCAATTGAAATAAAAAGTTGGAAGCCCAAACTCTGATACTTTCAGGAGAGGGTAAGCAAAGCAGGCAAATGAGTAAAGGAACCCTGTATATGACAATAAGGAGGGGTGAAGACTGAGACAAAGTAGAGAACACATGCCCATCTATCAGGTTGGTGCAAAAGTAATTGCAGTTTTTGCCACTATGCAAAAACTTTTATTAGGTTGCTTGCTTTTGCACCAACGTAATACAAGGAACAGCCACTGCTCAGCATTAGCCAATTGTAGCCAAATGGAAATGAAAGTTACACAGATCTGATTTTTCAAAATAAATTAAATGTAAATTTTACAGGAAATCTTCCAAATTTAGGCACACGATAAACTCAAATTGTTTCCAACATGAGGTCAGCCAAGCAGAACATCTGTGTAACGTTTCTGCGGGCTCTATGTGTCAGTCCACAAAGTACCAGGCTCTTCTGTGCTCTCCAATGTAAGTGTTAGAGAAACCCCTGCTTACCAGGCCTCTGGTTTAATACAACATTGACTACAGTGGCGACATCTTGAAGTGAGTAGTTAGGCACTCACGAGGCACCTATAAGGTTAATACTTCTAGTCTGAAAATAGCCACATTTTAAGCTGACCACCAATTATAATTACAGAACATTTATGGCCATATAGAGCATCTCCCACCCAGCCCACAGAATGTCCAGATGCCCTAAGAATACAGCCCACTTTACTTAAAGACAGCACCAATGAACAAGTTTAGGTTGAAGGATTAATGGTCATCGATAACAATAAATGCCACTACCTTTAGTGAGCACATCTGCACATTTCAATTTTAAGTATAGCTCTTTATAGTTTTTTATAAGTAAAGACACTAACAAAGGATTGCACATTCCTCCTCTTGCTTTCTAAGGATGCCCTGCTCTGTAACCGAGCAGTTTCCAATAAACTTGCTTCTTTCACTGTTTTCTGTGACTTGACTCAAATTCTTTCATGCATGAGATCCAAGTACCCACTCTTGGAGTATGGATGGAGATCCTCTTTTCCAGCAACTTAAGGACAAAGCACCTTAATCCCTTCAATAAGTCTAAGAATATCAAGCATTCCACAATACTTAATATTTGCAACAACAATTCCTGATCATAAAGCAAAAGGAAATTATATTTAGTATGATCTGTTTAATAAGGCTGGAGAATTATATTGTAGCCAAATGGAAATGAAAGCTACACAGATCTTTCAAAATAAATTAAATTTAAATTTTACAGGAAATCTCCCATATTTAAACACACAATGAACTCAAAATTGTTTCAACATGGGGCCAGCTACCTCCTGTTCAATAAGTCTAAGAATATCACCATGTTATAGCATTTCACAATACTTAATATTTGCAATGACAATTCCCGATCATAAAGCAAAAGGAAATTAAATTTAGTATGATCTGTTTAATAAGGTTGGAGAAGTATATAATACATCTGAGAAAGTTTCATATCCACAAGGATTAAAGCTTGAAAATGGAAATGATTTAAGCTATTTGTAAACCTTGGCTGTCTAGAATGACATATTACCCAAAGCCTTAATCAGCAGAGTTTTCCTTTATGGTCTTATGCCATTAGTTGATGTACAGTTTGTCATAGCTATTATTTTTGTGATTTGCCAATGAATAGTTAGTAGTGTAAAAATTGAATGATTATGTTTTTTATCTCATGCTGTCATCTCAGCTTTTTCTTATAAAATTATCATTACCAGTGGAGGGTGTCCAGGTTCTCGGTGTTTTGAACAGAGAATTGGACAAAATGCACAAACAAAGCAAGGAAAGAATGAAGCAACAAAAGCAGAGATTTATTGAAAATGAAAGCACACTCCACAGGGCGGGAGCAGGCCTGAGCAAACGGCTCAAGGGTCCCATTTACAGAATTTTCTGGGGTTTCAATACCCTCTAGAGGTTTTTCATTGGTTACTTGGTGTATGCCCTATGTAAATGAAGAGAATATTTACTGTCATAGCGGAAATGTTTCTGTTTGATTTAGTTCTAGAAGTCCTTAGGTTCCCTGCATCCAGGCCCTATTCTCCTGCCTCAATCATTCATGGGAAAACCTCTGGAATGGTGGTTAAAACTTCTTTAAAGTCTCTGGAAATTGTCCTAAGTGCATATGACCAATGAAAAAAGAAAACATTTATTCAGTAAAATCTACTAAATCTCTATCAAAATTGAAAGAGTCTGTCATTTGAACCATGAGCTACTCCATCCCCATCCCAACCCTGGCAGCCTAGTATGATGGAAGACCTACCCTACGCAGGTGGAGCCACTAACACAGGATTCCCTTTCTCTCTAGCTCCCAATGTAGGGCTACAGTCTTTCCCCAGGAAGGACACTTCAGGAGCATTTCTCATCCCTCTACTTCTGTACTGCAGAAGCTCTATTCCAGGGAAGAGCCAATAAGAGATACAGGATCCTCTTTTTCCACACAATCCCCATTTGTAAAGAGGAAGCCCTATCCCAGGCAAAATATACTGAGAATCCTGGGACCCTGATCATCCTCACCCTCAGCTTGCTAGTAGGGCAGAGGTTCCATGCCAGTATAGGCAACCCAAGATGATCAGAGGCTACTGCCCCCACCAATGCCTTATTTGTAAACAGGGTGTCATGCCCAGGGGGAAAGGCTGGCAATAAGAACAAAAAGCTTCAAAAAGCTCCCTAAGGAAATTTACTTTATATAGAATAGCGTGCGGAAACGTTCAAACCTAAGGACGCTTTTGAAAACAACAGAGATGTTGTAGCAAGCAACTAAGAAGGGGTATGAAAGCAATAAGTGAAATCATAGACCAAGCAGAATTTTTTTTTTTTTTTTTTTTTTTTTGAGACGACCAAGCTGAATTTTACCAGAGAGAATCAGGGAAAGAGACAGTTAAGAAGAGCATTCACGAGGCTGGAACAAATCTCAAAGACTAGTTTCCTAGACTACCCCTGTGAACAGGACTGGATTTAATTGTATGCAACTGGAGAGCAATCTACGCCCCAGGGCATTGTCAAAAACAATAGTGTAATCAGTTGGCAATTAGTGTTGGCTTACAGCTGAGCCTGATACCAAGCGAAGCAAATAATTTACTAAAGAAATCAAAGAAATAGAAAAAGAGAACCCTTCTAAAACCACCATTGTCATAGAAAGATTGTGCACATGTCCAAGGCTGCACTACATGAAGCAATGTCAGTGGCTGCACACTGCAGGTAAAATAGACCTCTCAAAAATAGTCCAGATAAGTCACCAAACAAATAAACAAGCAAACAACATCAAAAACAAGCCTGAAAGAGTAGAGTTCAGTAGCCAGAGTTACTACAATGTGTTATTTAAAATGTCTAACTTTCTTTTTAACAAAAAAGTTACAAGATATGCAAAAAGGAAGAAGTGTGACACACACACACACACACACACACACACACACACACACACAGGCAATAGAAACTGCCTTTGAAGAGGACCAGATGGTGGACTTGCAGATAAAGATTTTAAAGCAGCTACTGTAAATATATTTCAAAAACTAAAAGAAACAATACTTAAAGAAGAAAGGTATGATGACAATGTGTCATCAATTAAGAGAATATCAATAAAAAGACAGAAATTATGTTTTCAAAGAACCAAATGAAAATTGTGCAGCAAAAATGTACATTAACTGAAATGAAATATTCACTAGAGGGACCCAATAGTAGATTTCAGATGACAGAAGAAAGAAATCTGAAAATTTGATGACAGAGCAATAGAGATTATGCAATCTAAAAAACAGAGAGAAAAGGTAATGAATAAAAATGAGCAGAAACTCATAGAAATGCAGGGACACCATTAAGCTCACCAACATACATGAAATGGGAATAACAGAAGAAGAGAGGGGAAATGATGGAGCATAAAAAATATTCAAAGAATAATGGCTGAAAAATTCCCAAATGTGATGAAAAACATTTATTTATACATCTACAAAACCCAACAAAATCTAATTAGGATAAGTGCAAGGGGATCTACACCAGGAAACACCATAGCAAAAATGTTGAATGTTAAAGACAAAGGGAAAATCTTGAAAGCAGCAAGTGAGAAATAACTCATCCCATACAAGAGAACCTCATTCAAATTAACAATTGACTTTCCATCAGAAACAATGAAGACAGAAGGTAGGAGAATGACATACTCAAAATGCTGAAAGATCAAAAAGTAATTGTCAACTGAAGACCTTATTTCTAACAAAACTATCTTTCTAAAATGATGGCAAAATAAAGACATTCTCAAATATATAAAAATGAAGAGAATTTGTTACTAACAAACCCATCTTACTAGACATACTAAAGGAAGCTCTTTAGGTTAAAAGCAAGTAACTCCAGGCAGCAACTTGAATCCACACTAAAAAAACAAAGAGGGATAATAAACGTGATTTTGTAATTATAAAGAACAGTAAAAATATTTCTTCTCTTTTCTTCTTTTAACTAATTTAAAAAGCAATTGTAACTGCTTTCCTTCCTAATAGTATAGATAAATTATCTTGACTCCAAGCTAATGCCTATCCCTCCACTTTTGTACTAATTCATTCCTCTCTTTCTTATGCAAGGACATACATCCCGCAATTCTTCCCTTTTTATATCCTTCATCATTATTTTTCCCCTTCCTATGAGATTATTTCATTTAGCACCTAAATTATACAGTTATTTATGCTGGTTTATTAGCAAGAATTATGAGAGTCTGCACATATTACAGTTTATGTTTTTCAGAGTTTTTCTTACATAAAGAAGAAAAACAAACATTTGGGGGAGGAAAAATTCCAAGCCCATTAGAAGTAATTCCAATGCAATTTAAAAATTATCATCACTTGTGACATGTACTTCGTCATTTATTTGTACAATAAATATTTATTTGCACATAGGTAGAAAATTTAGTTCTACAAAATAAATCAATATCAAATATACACAAACATCAAATTTTACCAACGGGTTAATCACACAAGAGAAGAAAACAGAATGTGCACAGCTAAAAACCAGAAAGCTTCAGAAATAAAAAAATGAAATATATTTTAAAAATAAATCATACAACAAAACAAAGGCAAGCCTCTAATTTGTTGACTTGCCTTAGCCAGGTAACTCCATCATGCTCCCTAGTACTTCCCATGTACTTGTGCTATCATACTCCAACCACTTATAGAGCTATCACCGTGACCAGGCCCTGAACAAGTCTTTATATTAGTCAATTCTTCATTCAACAAGTATTTGTGAAATACCTACTATGTTCTAGTTATTGATCATACAAGAGTGAACAAAATAATAAAAGTCTATGACCTCATGCATCATATGTTCCAGTGGAAGCAAATAAAACCAATCAACCAATAAATAAATAAATAAGAAAGAACAACCAACCGATCCTAAGTCCCATGCAGAGACTGTGCGTGTCACAGTGACTATTCCAGATTGGAATGTCAGGATAGGTCTCTTTGAGATGACATTTAAACTAAATCCCAAAATTCATCAAGGAGGATTTCCATGTTACAGATGAGAAAGCTTAAGCCTTAAAGAAGTTAAGTAACTTGACAATGTCACAGAGCTAGTATGTAATAGAACCAGGGTTCTTGAGTATTACTGATAGTGTATTACTTATTTGCAACTGAAAAATTAATTTCTCCCCAAGGTGGGGAGGAGCCTAATCTTTAGTTCTTCCCAGTACATAAGAAACCAATATTTCCATTCTATCCTTCTGCCTGTTATTTATTGAGTGTACATTTCCTTTAATAAATGATCGATAAATATGACTTTAAAACATACACACACACATACATTGTACATAGTGACTCCTACAATAAAGATTGTAAAACTTCAATATGTGCATGAATTAACTGATGAACCACTTAGACGTGCAGTTGGCAAGCCTGCAAATCACAGACTCAGAGGCGGTATGGTTGAGGAAGAGAGGATATAGTACTAACTATGCATTTTTTTTTTCTGAAACAAACACCACAGATGCTTTTGTTGCAATGGTCAACAGACCACATCTTGAAAACCTCCTACTATGGTCTATCACAGTAATTCTCAAACTCCAGTATGAATTAGAATCACCGGGAGGGCTTGTTAAAACAGATTTCTGGGTCCCACCCCAGAATTTTTGATTCAGTAGGGCCGGGATGGTACCTGAGAATTTGCATTCTAACAAGTTCTGAGAAGGTATCGATGCAGCTGGTTCAGAGACCACATTTTGAGAATCTCTAGTCTATTCAACAGAAAAGTCTCTCTAACATGGCAATAACCTACAATTTTATGGAATTCCTCACTATTTCCTCAAAAAAAGTCCCATAGCAAATAAAGAAAAAATGCACAATGCGCCTTCTAATTTGAAATAGAATATCTCATAATAGCATGGTCATCATTACAGCTTGTGGATTTACTGATCTTGATGGTTGGTTGGAGCAAAATGGGGATAGGTGTCACGTAAAAAAAGTGGTTAAACCTGCAGGAAGTTCTGGTTACAGCACCTGTTAGGTGAGTAATTGATTGGTATCCTTGAAACTCTGCTTCAGCTGGTCTGTTTTCTACCTCAAGAACCATGCCAAAACAAAACAAGACAAAATAAAGCATACGGGTCTGTTTGAACACATGCCTAAAAACAGCTGAGCAATTCATCTACTATTGATTTTATTGATCTGATGCAGGGAGGTAACTTCACTCTAAAACCTTTGTTGATACAAACTACCTATAATTTGCCAAATTATTAAACCCAATATGTATCGTAAGCCAAAAATAAAATCCCAAGGCCGCCAACCATCTGAATGGACCCCTCCTTTCTGCCATTCTAGTTCAGAACCTGATAGAAGAGAGGGTTGGACAAGCCTCATTACAGCTCCCCAGAATTTACATCAACACAGACCTTAGATTTGATAAGAAGCATTTATAGTCTATTCTCTCTGAAGCCTGGTACTTGGAGCCTTCATCTACAAGATAAAACCTAGGTCTCCACAAATCCAGACATTCCTTTCTATTGATAATAACTCTTTCAACCAATTGCCAGTCAGAAAATTTTAAAATCTACCTATCACCTGGAAGCCCCCATCTTTAAGTTGTCCAGCCTTTCCAGATTGAACCAATGTAATTCTTACATGTATTGATTGATGTATTGTGTCTCCCTAAAACGTGTAAAGTAAGCTGTATCCTGACCACCCTGGGCACATGTCATCAGGACCTCCTGAGACTGTGTCATGGGTGCATCCATAACCTTGGCAAAATAAACTTTCTAAATTGACCGAGACTTGTCTCAAGTACTATAGCTTGTCTCAAGTTTATAGCATGTGATATGGCTTGGCTGTGTTCCCCACTGAAGTCTCATCTTGAATTGTAGCTCCCATAATTCCCACGTGTGGTGGGAGGGACCCGATGGGAGATAACTGAATTATGGCGGCAGTTTTCCCCATACTGTTCTCATGGTAGTGAATAAGTCTCAGGAGATCTGATAGTTTTATAGGGGGAAACCCCCTTCATTCTCATTTTCTCTCTTATCTGCCGCCATGTAAGATGTGCCTTTTGCCTTCCCCCACCACGTGGAACTGTTGAGTCCATTAAAGCTCTTTTTCTTTATAAATTACCGAGTCTTGGGTATGTCTTTATCAGCAGTGTGAGAACAGACTAATACGGTACGTTATAGAAAAGAAAGCTATGTATTAGAACTTAGTTTGGCATCCAGAAGTGTATCTCTCTGTAATCACTCTTTTATTCTACATTCCCTTGTCATTTGTTTCAATCTATACTGTGCCATTGTACAATACTTTGCTTTACTGTTTCTCTCTTGTTTGTACATTTCCACAAGTTAATCAAAAGCTCCTCCAAATCAGGAATCTCCTCTGTCTTGTATCTCCTTACAGCATTACTTTATTTTTATAAGTAATACTGAGGAAAAATATTGAGGAAGAAATGTCTGAACAAAGCCAGGCTCCTAGGGGAATACAGTTGTTCCAGGGTATCACCTAGGATTCATTACAGGACCCCCCGCCCCCAAACCTCCACCCTTACCAACTAGGTATTAAGGATGCTCAAGTCTCTTACATAGAATGGCCTTGTATTTGCATATAACCTATGCACACTGCACATCCTTCCATACACTTTAAATCATCTCTAGATTCCTTAAAATACCTAACACAATGTAAATGCTGTGGAAATAGTTGTTATACTGTATTTTTTGTTTTTAATTGTATTATTTTTTTTTCCTCCGAATATTTTCCAGCCCTGGTTAGTTGAATCCACAATGCAGAACCACGGATACAGAGGGCCAATTGTATTAAAACAACAACAACAACAACAACAACAACAACAAAACACTCTTGCTTTGATAAACTATTGTTACATTTATCTCCTTTGTGAAGAATTAATGCAGATTGTAGCAATAAGCCATTATGACTTTTAGAAAATCTGTAAAGTGCACGTAAATATTATTTGATGCAAAGTTATTGTTGTTTGGACAGAGGTAACAGTTATTAAGAGAAAGAAATGAACAGAGTAAATATGTTTTAAAAATAAAAAGGCTATGGAGGAACCTGAGTCTAAAACACACCTCCAAAAAGTCGCTTTCAGTGGCCACCTTACCCCTCCTCATCTTCCCTGGAGCCTGCTCCCCCTGGTTTGGATCAACTTCTATCAGGCACATCCTTCCCGAACTGGACTTCCAGGTGTTCAACTCCCTCCCTTCTTTGTCATGTTCTCAAAGGACCTCAGTCCATTATAATGTCTTCTTTCCCCCACGCCCCATCATTGCAAGCTGTCAGTGTAATTAGTCATAACATAGGCTGTTTAATACCTCTTAGATTTAGTTTTCTGAAAAGGGATCGTTGCATCTTCCACAGACTGTGGAACATAGAAAAATTCTAGCGTTCAGCGAGTCAGTGCATCCCTCTGAATAGTCACCAAGATACTGTTTTAGTTTGGATATTTAAATTATGTCAGGTATAGATCCCTAAAATTGGAGATGAAACAGTGAACATGACTTTCTATTTTCTTGTATGGTGGTAAGAACACTTAATATGAGATTACCCTCTCAACAAATGCTGAAGTGTGCAATACAGTAAGGAGTATCAGATGTGGGACAGTCAAAAGAGGATCTAAAACGCAGGAGACGGAGGTTAAGCAGCGGTTTCCCGGGACTGGGTTGTGCTCCCGAACGTTCGCAGGTTCCAGGACCGACCGCTCACCCCGGCGGCAGCCGACCGGGTCCCCACTCAACGCCGAGCTACCCCGGCTCAGCCCCCTGGCCGCGAACTGGGGGTCCAAGTGGGAGCGGACCTTGCGCCACCTGCCCCGCTCGCGGGAAAGGCAGTAGGAGGGAGGCGACTAGGTCTCTAGCGACAGAATCCGCACCTGCCCCACGTGCCCTGGCTGCAAGTCGCGACGCCTGCAAACAGAGGGCCCAGGGCGCCGGGACTGGGGAGGGGCGGGCCTGGGCGGCCCAGCCGGTCCCGGAGAGGCCGCCACAGAAGCCGGCCCCGAGCCCTGGGGCACATTCTGGGGAGGGGGGTGGGGTTCCGCGGCCCTTATCACTACAGCCCAGGAGAGAACCCGGTTTTGAGCGTGGTTTCCCCGCCTGCCCCCATTTGCACGCCGCGACTCTCTTTTTTAAAACAAGAGTGGAAGAGAAAGGCGCCAACTTATGTCCCTCTTGCTCTTCGGGGCTTCATGAAGGGACCTCCTACCCACACCCACGCCCAAACCCGCCACAAACTCCAGAGCGGGACAGAGTCCGCGACCTTCAGACGACCCCGGCGCGAAAGCGCGCGCCCACTCGGAGTGCCCCGAGCCAGCGCCGGCGAAGCAGGTGGATTCGACCGCCCCCAATTCGTCCCGCTTCAGCACCCGAGTCACTCCCGTTCCCGCCTCCTGGTGCTGGAGGACCTCACCCAGCACCGAGGGGCACGGACAAAACGGAGCGGGAAGTGCCCAGTTCTTGACGTCGGATCCGTGTTCGCGGCCGGCTCAGGGTCCGGCGCTGAGGACGCGTGTGCGGGGTGGTCCGCCGCCCCGGAAGGTCGCGAACTCGCCGCCTCCAGCGCCGGCGCCTTAACCCCGCCGGTCCCGGCGCCAAAGTCCCGACAGTGGCGGACGCCGGCACCAGGGGCGATGGAGAGCAGGCGACACCGAGGGTGTCCATCCGGTCCACCCAACCTGGTGCAAGGCTCTGGGAAGCGCGCTGACAGGATTTCAAGGCCAGAGTTAAAAAGGCGCGTTCCGTGGTAACATTTTAATCCACTCACTGCCAGCTGCTGCCACTTCTCTTGCTACTGCACACGGAAAGCCCTCTTCCACCTCTCTCCATTTCCCCAATTCTATAATACCTCCATTTAGTTTCATGTTTGTTTTGCTTTTGCATATTAAAAGATTTATAATAATAGTTCTGACGCACAAGGCTTAAGAGACAAGCTATATAGACTGCAATCCGATTTTATAGGCTTGAATCCACCGTCGGTTGGTTATGAGATGCTTAGAAAATTATTTCCATTCTCTGTTCCTCATTTTCCTCACATGTACAACATGGATAATAACAGTACTGATCTCATAAGGTTATTTGGAAGATATGGGCATATAGCACAAATTGCCTGATGCCGAGTAAGCACTCAGAGCTCTCCTCCTCACAGAACTGTAATGTATTACAACTGAAAGAGCTTTAAAAACACGATTTTCTGAGGCTGAGCGCAATGGCTCAGGCCTGTAATCCCAGCACTTTGGGAGGCCGAGGCGGGCGGATCACCTGAGGTCGGGAGTTCGATACCAGCCTGACCAACATGGAGAAATTCGTCTCTACTAAAAATACAAAATTAGCTGGGCGTGGTGGCACATGCCTGTAATCCCAGCTACTCGGAAGGCTGAGGCAGGAGAATCACTTGAACCCGGGAAGCGGAGGTTGCGGTGAGCCGAGATCGCGCCATTGCACTCCAGCCTGGGCAACAAGAGCGAAACTCCGTCTCAAAAAAGAAAAAAAGAAAAAAAAAAAACTAAACTAAACCCACGATTTTCTATTGTACTGCGAATTTGTCGATTAGGGATGGGTGGGAAACTTCTGTTAGTGATCGGACTTTCAGGCTGGGCAACCTGGGTTGCAGTTCTACCTTCACCTCTTACAAAATGTGTGACCTTGGGCAAGTCACTTCACCTTTCTGCACCTCAATTACATCCTCTGTCAAATGAGATAATAGCTCTTGTTAGTGAGGACTCAATAAGCTAACATTTGCAATTAATTTAGAATATTTACTATCAAATGTATATGCCTTTATAAAATGTAGAATTTACCTTTTATAAGGAGGTAACTTGTAATTCAAATTCTATGCAAATCCATCAGAATCTCAGCCTTATTACAAACACTGCTAGCTACATTTGCAATGTACTCTAACCATTTTCATATTCTTTCCTTTCAACAAGCAATTACAAGTTAAACATGATAGTTAACATTTTCAATGACTGTAAGTAATAATTTTGGGAAAAATACTGAATACCGAATTATACTAGTTGAGGTATAAGATGTTAGTGACAATGTTAATTATTGTTTCCAATATTACTTATAAAATATACATTTTATACTTTTGAGGAATCAATTCAATATTCAGTGAATGTCTCCCTAAGCCTCATATTCACATTCTTTTTTTAATTTTAATTTTTAATTTTTGTGGGCATATATTAGGAGTATATATTTAAGATTTACGAGGTATATGGGATATTTTGATACCAGCATACAATGTGTAATACTTACATCAGGGTAAATGGTGTATCCATCCCCTCAAGCATTTATCCTTTGTGTTACAAACAGTTCAATTATACTCTTTTAGTTATTTTTAAATGTACAATTAAATTATTGTTGACTATGGTAACCCTGTTGTGCTATCAAATACAAGTTCTTATTCTTTCTTTTTAACTACTTTTTGTACCCATTAACCATACCCACTCCCCGCCAATCCCCCGACTGCCAGCCCCAGCCTCTGGGCCTTCTCTCTGTCTCCATGAGTTCGATTGTTTTAATTTTAAGCTCCCACAAATAAACAAGAACATGCAAAGTTTGTCTTTCTATGCCTGGCTTATTTCACATAACATGACCTCCAGTTCCATACATGTTGATGCAAATGACAGGATCTCATTCTTTTTAATGGCTGAATAGTACTCCATTGTGTATATGTACCACATTTTCTTTATCCATTCATCTGGTGATGGACACTTAGGTTACTTCCAAATCTTGGCTATTATGAATACAGCTGCAATAAATATGGGAGTATAGATATCTCTTTGATATCCTGATTTCCTTTGTTTTGGGTATATACACAGCAGTGGGACTGCTGGGTCATGTGGTAGCTCTATTTTTAGGTTTTGAGGAACCTCCAAACTGTTCTCCCTAGTGGTTGTACCAGTTTACATTCCCGTCAACAGTGTATGAGCATTCCTTTTCTCCACATCCTCTCCAGCATTTGTTATTGCATTTCTTTTGGATAAAAGCCATTTTAACTGGGGTGAAGTAGTTTTGATTTGCGTTTCTCTAATGATCAATGATGTTGAGCACCTTTTCACATGCCTGTTTGCTATTGGTATGTCTTCTTTTGAGTAAAGTCTATTCAGCTATTTTGCTAATTTTTAAATTGGATTATTAGATTTCTTTCCTATAGAGTTGTTTGAACTCCTTATATATTCCTATATTAATCCCTTATCAGATAGGTAGTTTGCAAATATTTTCTCCCAATCTGGGGGTTGTCTCTTTCCTTTGTTGATTGTTTTCTTTGCTGTGCAGAAACTTTAAGCTTGATTTGTTCGTTTTCACTTTAGTTGTCTGGGTTTTTGGGCTATTACTCAAGAAATCTTTGCCTAGTCCAATGTCCTGAAGAATTTCTCCAATGTTTTCTTTTAATAATTTCATATGTTGAGGACTTAGATTTAAGTCTTTAATCCATTTTGATTTGATTTTTATATATGACAAGAGATAGGAGTCTATTTTCATTCTTCTGCATATGGATATCCAGTTTTCCCAGTATTATTTATTGAAGAAACTGTCATTTTCCCAATGTATGTTCCTGGCACATTGGTCAAAATGAGTTCACTGTAGCTATATAGATTTGTTTCCAGATTCTCTATTCTATTCCATCGGTCTACATGTCTGTTTTTATGCCAGTACCATGGTGTTTTGGTTACTATATCTCTGCGGTATAATTCAAAGTCAGGTAATGAATAATAATTCCTCCCATTTTGTTCTTTTTGCTCAGGATATCTTTAGCTATTCTGTGTCTTTTGCAGTTCCATGTAAATTTGGGGATTTTTTTTTCTATTTCTGTAAAGAATGTCAGTGATTTTTGTTTGTTTTGTCTTGTTTTGTTTGAGACATAGTTTCGTTCTGTCACCCAGGTTGGAGTGCAGTCATGTGATTGTAGCTCACTGCAACATCTGCCTTCCAGGTTCAAGCAATTTTCATGCCTCAACCTCTCAAGTACCTGGGACTACAGGCACGTGCCACCACACCCAGCTAATTTTTGTATTTTTAGTGAAGATGGTGTTTTTCCATGTTGGCCAAGCTGGTCTTAAACTTCTGGCCTCAAGTGATCCACCTGCCTCAGCCTCCAAAAGTGCTGGGATTATAGGCATGAGCCACTGTGCCCAGCCGTCATTGGTATTTTGATAGGGATTGTACTACATCTCTAGGTTGCTTTCCATGTTATGGACGTTTTAACAATATTGATTCTTCCAATCTATGAACATGGAATATCTTTCCATCTTTTTGTGTTCTCTTCAGTTTCTTTCATGAGTGTTTTGTACTTTTTAACTGCAGAGATCTTTCACTATTTTGGTTAATTGCTAGGTATTTTACTTTATGAGTAGCTATTGTAAGTGGGATTATGTTCCCGATTTCTTTTTCAATTTTTTTTTTTTTTTTGCTGTTGGCATATAGAAATGCTACTGATTTTTGCATGTTGATTTTGAATTCTGCAACTTTACTGATTTTATCAGTTCAAATAGTTTTTAGGTGGAGTCTTCTGGTTTTTCCAAATATAAAATTACATCATCTGAAAACAAGGATAATATGACTTTTTCCTTTCCAATTTGAATGACTTTATTTTTATTTATTTATTTATTTATTTTTTGACAGAGTCTCACTCTGTCACCAGACTGGAGTATAGTGGCAGCCTCCCAAAGTGCTGGGGTTATAGGCATGAGCCACTGCACCCAGCCAGATGCCCTTTATTTCTTTCTCTTGTCTGAGTGTTCCAGCTAGGACTTCCAATGTTATGTTGAATGTTGTGAAAGTGAGCATCTTTGCCATGTTTCAGGTCTTAGAAGAAAGGCTTTCAGTTTTTCCTCATTTAGTATGGTACTAACTGTGGGTCTGTCATATATGGCTTTTATGATGTTGAGGTATATTTCTTCTTTCCCCAGATTTTGAGGGTTTTTATCATGAAGGGATGTTGAATTTTATCAGATGCCTTTTCAGCATCATTTGAGATGACCATATGGATTTGTCCTTCATTCTGTTGATAAGAAGTATCACACTGATTGCCTTCCATATGTTGAACCATCCTTGCATTCCTGGGATAGATCCCACTTGGTCATGATGAATAATCTATTTAATGTATTGATTAATTTAGTTTGCTTAGTATTCTGTTGAGGATTTTTGCATTAATGTTCACCAGGGATATTATCCTATAGTTTTCTTTCTCTGATGTGTCTTTATCTGCCATTGGCATCAAGGGAATATTGGTGTTATAGAATGAGTTTGGAAGTATTCCCTTCTCCTCTATTTTTTGGGAATAGTTTGAGTAGGATTGGTATTAGTTCTTCTTTAAATGTTCAGTGGAATTCAACAGTGAGGCCATCAGGTCCCAGGCTTTTGTTTGCTAGCACACTTTTTGTTGTTGTTGTTGTTGTTGTTGTTGTTTTTGAGACAGAGTCTCACTCTGTCGCCCAGGCTGGAGTGCAATGGCACGATCTCAGCTCACTATAGCCTCTACCTCTGGGTTCAAGCAATTCTCCTGTCTTAGCATCCCAAGTAGCTGGTATTGTAGGCGTCCGCCACCATGCCTGGCTAATTTTTTGTACTTTTAGTAGAGACGGGGTTTCACCATGTTGGCCAGGCTGGCCTCAAACACTTGACCTCAGGTGCTCTACCTGCTCAGCCTCCCAAAGTGCTGGGATTACAGATGTGAGCCACTGTGCCCTGCTGCTGGGGGACATTTTATTACAACTTCAATCTTGTTATTTGTTATAGGTCAGTTTAGGCTTTGGATTTTATCATGGTCCAATCTTGGTAGGTTGTACATGTCTAGGAATTTATCCATTTCTTCCAGGTTTTCCAGTGTATTGGCATATAGTTGCTCTTAGCATCCGCTAATGATCCTTTGAATTTTGGTGATACTGGGTGTAATGTCTCCTTTTTCATCTCTGATTTTATTTATTTGGGTGTTCTATCATTTTTTCATAGTTAATCTGGCTAATGGTTTGTCAATTGTGTTTATCTTTTCAAGAAAACACCTTTTATTTTTTCTATTGTTTTCTTTTTTCAATTTCATTTATCTCTGCTCTGATCTTTATTATTTCTTTACTTCTATTAATTTTGGGTTTGGTTTGCTTTTGATTTTCTAGTTCTTTAAGATGCACCATTACATTGTTTATTTGAAGTTTGTCTTCTTTTTTTATGTAGGCACTTAAAAACTCCCCTCTTACAATTGTTTCACTGTATCCCATAGGTTTTGGTATGTTGTATCCCCATTATCATTTGTTTCAAGAAATTTTTAAATTTCCTTCTTAATCTCTTCATTGATCCCCTGATCATTCAGGAGCACATTATTTAATTTCCATGTGTTTGTATAGTTTCCAAAGTTCCTCTTGTTATTGATTTTTAGTTCCTTTTTTTTGTGGTGAGAGATGATACTTGATATAATTTTAATTAAAAAAATTTTTAAGACTTGTTTTGTGTACTGACATATGGTCTATCCTTGAGAATGATCTATGTGCTGAGGAGAAGAATGTTGAGTAAAATGTTCTGTAAATATCTATTAGGTCATTTTGGTCTATACTGCAGATTGACCCCTTTATCATTACATAATGACCTTCTGTTTGTCTTTATATTGTTTTTGTCTGGAAATCTCTTTTCTCTGATATAAGTATAGCTAATCCTGCTCTGTTTTGCTTTCCATTTGCATTCAATGTTATTATTGATATGTAAGGAATTACTCCTGCCATTTTGTTATTTGTTTTCTGGTGGTTTTGTGGTCTTGTCTTCCTTCTTTCCTTGCTTCCTTTCTTCTTTTTAGTGTAGGTTATTTTTCTTGTGGCATGTTTTAATTTCTTGCTTTTTATTTTTTGTTCATCCATTGTATGTTTTTGGATTTAAAGTTACCATGAGGCTTACAAATAATATTTTACAACCCATTATTTAAAACTGATGACAACTTAACACTGATTGCATAAACAAAGTAACAAAGAAGCAAAAAGAAAACTAATAAAAACTCTACACTTTGACTTTGTCTCCCTGAATTTTAAATTTTTGCTGTTTCTATTTATATCTTTGTTTTATATGTACTTACTATTACCAGTGAGTTTTGTACCTTCAATAATTTCTTATGCTCACTAATATCCTTCTTTTTTCAGATTGAACAAATTTCTTTACCATTTCATATTGGATAGGTCTGCTGTTGATGAAATCCCTGAGCTTTTGTTTGTCTGGGAAACTTTATTTCTCCTGCATGTTTCAATGAAGAAAACATAAAGGAGATATTTTACCAGATAAATTATTCACCAGATATTTCACCAGATATATTATTCCAGGATTAAATTATCCTAGAATAATATATCTAGTGAAATAGAATTTCATTCAGCACTTTAATTTAGAATTTTCTTCAACACTTTAATATGTCATGCCACTCTCCTCTGACCTGTAAGGTTTCTACAGAAAAGGCTGCTGCAAGATGTGTTGGAGCTCCATTGTATGTTATTGATTCTTTTTCTCTTCCTGTTTTTAGAATCCTTTCTTTATCCTTGAGCTTTGGGAGTGTGATATTAAATGCCTTGAGGTAATCTTCTTTGAGTAAAATCTATGTGGTGTTCTAACCTTCTTGTATTTGAATATTGATACCTTTCTTTAGGTTTGGGAAGTTCTCTGTTATTATGCCTTTGAACACATTTTCTACCCCTACCTCTCTCTCTACCTCCTCTTTAAGGATGATAACTCTTAGGTTTGCCCTTTTGAGGCTATTTTCTAGATAGTGTGGGCATGCTTCTTTCTTTCTCACTCTATTTTCTCTAGTCTCCTCTGTGTATTTTCTAATGGCCTGTCTCTAAGCTCACTAATTCTTTCTTAAGTTTCTCACTATGCTCTTAAGAGACTCTGATGTATTCTTCAGTATGTCAATTGCATTTTTGAGCTCCAGAATTTCTGCTGATTTTTAAAATTATTTCAATTTATTTTTAAATTTAGGATTCTTAATTTCTGATAAGATTCCTAATTTCTTCTCCGTGTTATTTTGAATTTATTTGAGTTTCTTCAAAACAGCTATTTCCAATTATCTGTCTAAAAGGTCACATATCTCTGTCTCTCTGGGATTGGTCTGTGGTACTTCATTTAGTGTTTGGTGAGATCATGTTTTCCTGGATGGTCTTGATACTTGCGGATGATTGTTGATGTCTGGGCAGTTAGATATTTACTGGAGTCTTTGCAGTCTGTGTTTGTTTGTACCCATCCTTCTTGGGAACACTTTTCAGGTATCTGAAGGGACTTGGGTGTTGTGATCTCAGTTTTTGGTCACTGCAGCCATATCTATATTAGGAGACACTC
The DNA here is from genome assembly GCF_000001405.40 of Homo sapiens. NCBI lineage: Eukaryota > Metazoa > Chordata > Mammalia > Primates > Hominidae > Homo > Homo sapiens. The sequence continues at coordinate 39,153,263 of NC_000012.12, forward strand.
TCAGCCCAGTAATACTGTGGTTCTTGCACACTCACAGAGGTACCACCTTGGTGATCATGGATAAGATCCAGGAGAATTCTCTGGATTACCAGGCAGAGATTCCTGTCCTCTTCCCTTACTTTCTCCCAGTACTATGGAGGCTCTCTCTCTCTCTCTCTCTGATGAGCTCCCTGGAGCTGGGGGAAGGGTGACACAAGCACCTCTATGGCCACGGCCACTGGGACTGTCCTAGGTCAGACCTGAAGCCAGCACAGCACTGAGTCTTGCCCAAGGCCTGCGGTAACCACTCCCTAGCTACCACTTATGTTCTCTCAAGACCCTAGGGCTGTACAATCAGCAGGTGGCAAAGTGAGCTAGGCTTGTCTCCTTCTGTTCAAAGCAGTGAGTTCCCCTGGGCCCCAGGCAGGTCCAGAGATGCTGTCCAGGAGCCAGGGCCTAGAGTCAGAAACCTTAGAAATCTACCTGATACTTTATTCTACTGTGGCTGAGCTGACACCAAAACCACAGGACAAAGTCCTTCCCACTCTTCCCTCCGCTTTCCTGAGGCAGCGTTGTCTCCCTCCTCATGTCTACTGCCACCACAGGCTCACAGGAATGCTGCCAGAGTACTGTTGATATTCACTTAAGGCCCAAAGGCTTTTCAGTCAACTTGTGGTGAATGCTGCCAGGCCTGGTAGTTGGGGTCCCCTCTGGCCTGGAGTAGTTCTAGAAATGCCATTTAAGAGCCAAGGCTTGAAATCAAGACCCTGCTTGGTGCTCTTCCCCATTGTGGCTGAGCTGCTACCCAGGCTGCAAGACAAAGTCCCCTTTACTCTTTCCTCTCCTTTTCTCAAACAGAAGGAGTCTTTCCTCATAGCCACCACAGTTGGGAATGTGCTGGGTCACACCTGAAGCCAGTATGTCTCAGAGTAAGTCCCTCAGCATGTACTACCTGGTTCAGGGACCAAGGACACTTTAGTCAGCAGGTGATGGATCCTGCCAGGGCTGGTCCTTCCCTCCAAGACAGCAGGTTTCCTTCTGGCCCAGGGTGTGTCTAGAAATGTTATCCAGGAGCTAGAGCCTGGAATGGGGGGCCTTTTGACTCTGCCTGGTGCCCTATCCCACAGTAGCTGAGCTGGTATCCAAGTTACAAGACAAAGTCCTCTTTACTTTTCCCTTTGCTTTTCCTCAAGAGGAAGAAAAGAGTCTTTTTCAGAGCTGTGAGCTGCATTGCCTGGGGTTGGGGAAGGGGTGATGCAAACACTCCTTTAGCCACCCAGCTGGTGTATCACTAGGTCACATGCACCCCAAGTCCAGTGGCTCTGAACCCAGCATAGCACCAGGACTTAGCTAGCAGTCGCAGTCCTTGTGGCCTAAACTGCCTTTTGAATTTATTTAGAACCCCGGAGCACTTTAGCCTGTGGTGGCAAGGCTTGCTGAAACTCAAGTTCCAACTGCTGGGATGGGCAATTCCCTTCTGGCTAGGGCTTATCTAAATGCTTCCTCCATAGGCAGTGGCTGAGTTCTGCTTGGTGTTGATAGCACTCGATTCCAATGCAAAGTCCCACAATTGCTGTGCTCTCCCTCCCCCAAGTGCACAGATTCTCTTTGCATTACATGATCACTGCCATGGGATGAGGGAGGGGTGGTATGGGCAATTCAAGATTGTCTCTCTTACCCTCTCCAGTGCCTCTTTCAGTAATTTGAAGTTAAAACCAGTTACTATGATCACTCACCTGATTGTTGGTTCTCATGATATGGTGCTTTTTTGTGTAGATAATGTTAAATGTGGTGCTCCTGCTGGGAGGATGACCAATGGGGGCTTCTATTCAGCCATCTTGCTCCACCTCTGACTATATTTATATTCTTTAAGGAGGAATATCTTTTTTCCTTGCTCAATTTTATTTCAGACCATTGGGATTTGACATTTATTGTGAAATATTTCAAGCACATAAAAATAGGAAAAATAGAGTATCTGTATCCAATACCCAGTTTAAGAAAGAAAACAAAGTGTTACCATGAAGCCCCTATGTAGTCTTCGTAGGTGCCCTCTTATCATTCACTTCCATCCACAGCAGGATAACCTTACTTTGAATTTCTTGTTTGCCATATTCAAGCATTTATTTATATTTTTGCTATGCATACGTATGTCTCCTGCTATGGTCTGAGTGTTTAAGCCCCCTGTCAAAATTTATGAGTTGAAATAATGACTCCCAGAGATAGACTCCTTCTCCCTCTGCCCGGCGAGGACCCAGCAAAAAGACAACAATCCATGAACCAGAAAATATCCTCTCATTAGACACAGAATCTGCTGGCACATTGATCTTGGGCTTCCCAGAATCCAAAATTGTAAGATATATGTGTGTGTGTGTGTGTAGAGATATATATATATATACACATATATATATATATATATATACACACATATATGTGTGTGTGTGTGTGTGTTTGTTTTGTTTATAAGGCACTCAGTCTATGACATTTTGTTACAGCAGCCAAAAGGACTCCTGAAGCATATATTTTGCATGTTTGCATATATTTAAACTTCATGGAATGGAATAATTTCTTTTTACTCTTCTATGACTTGATTTTTCTTCCTTAAAATTATATTTTTATGACTCATCCTGTTGATAAATGTCTGAAGTTCATTTGACCACTGTATTTAGGCTTCTGTCTAACGACTATATAACACTTCGCTTACTCATTTTCTTACTGATAGATGTTTCCACAGTATCTTGCTTTTCAACAAATAGCTGCTCTGAACCTCTTTGTGCTTTTTTCTTAAACATATTTACAAACATCCTTAAAGTATTTTCTGAAGACTAATTAATGGTCATAAAATATGTTCATGTTTTCTGAACTTGGAAAAATCATGTTACCCAAATGGAAATTTTACTTTTGTCATTCCAAAAAATGTTAAATAAGAACACACTATATGTCAGACATCATGCTTAGTATGGGGGATAGAGCAGCAAACATAGGCATGAACTCTGCCCTCATGGTTCTTATACTATTGTAGATAATAGAGGAGATTTATATGTTGGGGAATGTTCTGTAGTAAATGATGTCTGAGGTCTTACTTAATTTTGAGATTTTATGGTTCTGTAAAATCAGACATGAGTCTATGAACCAAAATGATTTTAAAACCAAAATATTTTTCTTTCCTTCAGGAACACTTAATTATTTAACATGTAACCACAAAATGAGGCAATAATACTGAACTTAATGAGACAAAGCAATCAAGGATATTAAATTTTTACTCTTCAGTAAGAAAAGAATATGCAATTCAGACAGAAAGACTATGCAATAGGGAGTAAGCAAATAATTGGTCCAAGAAAAATAACTCCAATTGAAAGATAAGTAATAAGTTAAACAGAAGGAAACAAGATAGGTTGCACCAAAAGCTATTGCAAGAAAAAAAGAAGGAAACAAGCTTTATTTTTAAAAAGGGTTGAGGGGGGGTAGCTAAAAAATAAATGCCTAAAAATTCATGCCATAAACCAGATAACGTTACAAATATTTCTCCTAAATCAAATAAATCATTAAAAAGTAGAACTTCCATGAAATGAGAAATGACCGAAATGCTACAGTGGCTCAAAGATAGATGTGGGGCACGATTATGTCAAGAATCCTCTCTACTTACTATGGTGAGGCCAGAACAAGAAAGGGGAGGGAAATGTGTGGCCTTCTTTTGTGAAATTTAAAACCTTGACCAGGGAAGGAAATAGGGAATGGCAGATTTTTTTTTTTCCATCCCTTTTTACGCGCCTCCCCATCATTTTCTTTTGCCTGATATAAAACACTCACTCATTTATTGAACATATAATGGACAATAATGGACAACATAAACTTGTCCAGTGTGCCAAACTATGTGCTATCAGTTGTGAATACAAAAAGTGAACAAGACTAAAAACATACCTGCCCTATAAGCTTATATTCTAGTGCAGTAAACAAATAAATGAAGAAGTAAGTAAATGCACAAATAGGTCAATTTTAGAATCTGATAAGAATTATAAAGAGAATAAACAGTATGATGGGATAGTAATTGGAGAAGGTGGATGTGGGAGACAGGGAGATCAGGGAAGGCCTCTCTGATTAATTTGAACTGGGACATTAGCTGCATAAAAAAAAAAATAGGCCAGGCATGCAAAGAACTAAGGAAAATATTCCAAGGTAAGATAGATATACGTGAGCAAATGATAGGAGGGCAGAAGGGGTTTGCCATATTTGAGGAACAGAAAGGATATCATTGTGAGGGTCAAGTGAGATTTTTGTTTTTTAATATGGTGATTCTATAGGACATTCATGTAAAGGATGGGAATTAATCACTATAGAGGAGACACATGACTTCAAAGAGAGAAGCCTCTGAGAAATAAAGAAAAGGTAGGGTTCAGAGCTCAAGCATAGGAATTTGATTTTATTTAAAAAAGAGGTCCTTATTGCATTCTTACAGGAAGAAAGGCTGAGAAGATCTGTAAAATTGCATGTAGTCTATGGGTCTGGTGTTGGAAATGAAACATGAGGACATTTCACTGTGATGTTTTTTTGTTAGTCTGATTTTTGGAAGGCAGAACCGAGGCAGATAACATGCTTTTGATGTTTCTATTTCTCTTGGCCAGCAGGTTTGTGGAGGCAGTGTTGGCCAAGGTCCAGCATCCAATCACTAGCTTTGTAGTGTCAAGAGGCAGAGAACAGTACACTCATTTTTTCTGGTGCAAATCATAGCTGTTGAATTATTGAAGATCTCCTTGTAGTGGTAGCGTCTTTATCGTGATGGTGATTGGGTGGATCTGGAGGTGATAGCTTCCTAATTAGAGAAGGGCAACAGATCCTTTGGAGGTCCATCCTGGAGTCATTGTTAATTTAGTAGGTCATTTCCTCCAGATTTCACAATGGTTCTTCAAGTCATTTGTTACCCTGGAATAAATCTTTCACATGCTTAAGTGACATACAGGGATTTTCTGATTTGACCAGTATCTTCAGGGTCCAAGATCAGTCATTCGTGAAATAATAAAGTCATTCAGAAAATGATAGGGTTGCGTGGAGAGGAAGAAAATTTTCAACATAAGAATGTAAAGGATGTGGTGGTTTGGGGATGGCATCAGTGAGGATTTACAGCTGGTTCTATGACATGACATGAATTTCAAGAGTTATTTTGTTTAAAATAAGAATCAGGAAGAGACAATGGTTAGCCAGTAGAATACCTATCCCACCTCCTGGCCCTAAATTACCCTAAGTTTGTGAGAGAGAAAACTGCCTGCATTTGAAAGCCATTAGAGAAAGCTTGCAGAAGGCAAGGAGTCAGAGGAATTTCAGAAAAGGAATGAAGATCTAATAAGAGACTTTGCTGATCACAAACTCTGAAGTTTAGGAAGGCACAGTGATGGCTGGGGCAGTGGCTCATGCCTGTAATCCTGGTACGCTGGGAGGCCAAGGCAGGCAGATTGCCTGAGCTCAAGAGTTGGAGACCAGCCTGGCCAACATGGCAAAACCTCGTATCTACCAAAAATACAAAAAATTTGCCAGGTGTGGTGGTGTGTGCCTATTGTCCCAGCTACTTGGGAGGCTGAGGTTGGAGGATCGCTTGAGCCCAGCGAGTAGAGGTTGCAGCAAGCCGTGATTGCACCATTGCTCTCCAGCCTGGATGACAGAGTGAGACCCTCTCTCAGAAAAAAAAAAAAAGCATAGAAGTAAGTGAAAGGGTTTTTCAGGGATTGGTAGTTACAATAGAGGGTACATAGAAATATTGGGAATTAGAGACCTAGGGAAAGTGGATGGCCTGGGAGCCTTGGGCTTCTCTAGATAATCAAGATAGACTGAAGTGTAAGGCATGAGGGGGTCAGTCTTTTCTTATTTTATTTTATTATTATTATACTTTAAGTTTTAGGGTACATGTGCACAATGTGCAGGTTAGTAACATATGTATACATGTGCCATGCTGGTGTGCTGCACCCATTAACTCGTCATTTAGCATTAGGTAAATCTCCTAATGCTATCCCTCCCCCCTCCCCCCACCCCACAACAGTCCCCAGAGTGTGATGTTCCCCTTCCTGTGTCCATGTGTTCTCGTTGTTCAATTCCCACCTATGAGTGAGAACATGCGGTGTTTGGTTTTTTGTCCTTGCGATAGTTTACTGAGAATGATGATTTCCAATTTCATCTATGTCCCTACAAAGGACATGAACTCATCATTTTTTATGGCTGCATAGTATTCCATGGTGTATACGTGCCACATTTTCTTAATCCAGTCTATCATTGTTGGACATTTCGGTTGGTCCCAAGTCTTTGCTATTGTGAATAGTGCCGCAATAAACATACGTGTACATGTGACTTTATAGCAGCATGATTTATAGTCCTTTGGGTATATACCCAGTAATGAGATGGCTGGGTCAAATGGTATTTCTAGTTCTAGATCCCTGAGGAATCGCCACACTGACTTCCACAATGGTTGAACTAGTTTAGAGTCCCACCAACAGTGTAAAAGTGTTCCTATTTCTCCACATCCTCTTCAGCACCTGTTGTTTCCTGACTTTTTAATGATTGCCATTCTAACTGGTGTGAGATGGTATCTCATTGTGGTTTTCATTTGCATTTCTCTGATGGCCAGTGATGATGAGCATTTTTTCATGTGTTTTTTGGCTGCGTAAATGTCTTCTTTTGAGAAGGGTCTGTTCATGTCCTTCGCCCACTTTTTGATGGGGTTGTTTGTTTTTTTCTTGTAAATTTGTTGGAGTTCATTGTAGATTCTGGATATTAGCCCTTTGTCAGATGGGTAGGTTGCGAAAATTTTCTCCCATTTTGTAGGTTGCCTGTTCACTCTGCTGGTAGTTTCTTTTGCTGTGCAGAAGCTCTTTAGTTTAATTAAATCACATTTGTCAACTTTGGCTTTTGTTGCCATTGCTTTTGGTGTTTTAGACATGAAATCCTTGCCCATGCCTATGTCCTGAATGGTAATGTCTAGGTTTTCTTCTAGGGTTTTTATGGTTTTAGGTCTAATGTTTAAGTCTTTAATCCATCTTGAATTAATTTTTGTATAAGGTGTAAGGAAGGGATCCAGTTTCAGCTTTCTACATATGGCTAGCCAGTTTTCCCAGCACCATTTATTAAATAGGGAATCCTTTCCCCATTGCTTGTTTTTCTCAGGTTTGTCAAAGATCAGATAGTTGTAGATATGTGGCATTATTTCTGAGGGCTCTGTTCTGTTCCATTGATCTATATCTCTGTTTTGGTACCAGTACCATGCTGTTTTGGTGACTGTAGCCTTGTAGCGTAGTTTGAAGTCAGGTAGAGTGATGCCTCCAGCTTTGTTCTTTTGGCTTAGGATTGACTTGGCGATGCGGGCTCTTTTTTGGTTCCATATGAACTTTAAAGTAGTTTTTTGCAATTCTGTGAAGAAAGTCATTGGTAGCTTGATGGGAATGGCATTGAATCTATAAATTACCTTGGGCAGTATGGCCATTTTCACGATATTGATTCTTCCTACCCATGAGCATGGAATGTTCTTCCATTCTTTGTATCCTCTTGTATTTCATTGAGCAGTGGTTTGTAGTTCTCCTTGAAGAGGTCCTTCACATCCCTTGTAAGTTGGATTCCTAGGTATTTTATTCTCTTTGAAGCAACTGTGAATGGGAATTCACTCATGATTTGGCTCTCTGTCTGTTATTGGTCAGTCTTGATTAGCCTTTTAAATGAGGAGGGGCAATCACTTCAAGCTGCAGTCTGTGATACGGTGGCTGGGGAAAGTATGAGGCAGCCATTCTTGGTCTGACATTTGAATTCTCCTAGAGCAATACATGTATTATCACTGCAACTCCTTTCCTGACCACTGAGGGAAGATTAGACTTTCTTTAATCCTGTTCACAAGATCAGCACAACAAGTAAACAAGTAGAAGAGTTATTTTGGGAAGAACACCATTTACATTCAAGGAATCCTGTATTAGCTCCCACTGGACTATGAGTTTCTAGAAACCAAGGACATATTTTCTTCATAAAAATGTTCCTTTCCCATCATTAGTATCTATTACTATATCTGGCATAGAATAAATGTTTATTAGTTTTTTGTTAAACGAGTGAATGGAAGAGAGATTAAACATAATAACAGAAACCCTCATCATTGAAAAAAGTCAAGTTGATTAGTGTGAGGAAATCTGCACTTTTAAATAACCAGACTCCTTTCCAGTTTTCAAGCTGCTTGCTGCTTAAAAATTAGATAGTTAAAATATCTAATAAAAACAGGCAAACAAAGAACAGGAAGAAAAAGAGTGGCAGTGTCTTAAAACAGTGATCTACGATGTTAATGTTTAAATACCTAACTTCTTACTGAAATTTAGGTTTCATGGAGAAAGCACATGGGTATTTTGCCTTGCAAAGAAACGATCCCATTTCTTGCATACTTACTAGGGAGAAACATTGCACTGTAACTGTGTTACTAGTGGGAAAAAATCTGAATTGTTCCAAGACACAGAATGTCATTGTGCCTAAAATAATTGCTGTCAAGTAATGATTAATAACATATTTTCTTTCTAAAAGAAGTGTTTCTCTCTACTTTGAAAAGCGTAATAGTTTGGCTTAGAAGGACTTCTACAGAGAATGTGAACTGCAAATACATTCATTTTACAACTACATTCCATGACATGCCTCTGAGTACTTCACGCTCTTGACTCATTGAGATTTCAGAATGATAGCCAGATTGAACTAAGCTTAATGTATAACAAAAAACATCCTTTACAGGAACATGTGTTTCCAGGGTAACATAAGGGAGTTAGTAAAACACTCTGCTAAGTAGCTGTGAATTAAAAGATAGCATCCCATTGTCTTTAGTGTGAGATAGTGACTTGGCAAATCATTCTTAGGAGACCTCTATGAACAAGGCTAAAATGCTGAGACTTAATTTCCTTAAAATAAAAAGGTTGTATTCTTTTTGTTTTTGTTTTTGTTTTCCTGCAGCTTATTAACATTTACAAACATGAGGAGATAATCTTAATAAATCGCATTGTTCTAGGTTTTATTAACATAGAATGATGTAACCTCAAAATGTAACTTAACAGCCGGGCGCAGTGGTTCATGCCTGTAATCCCAGCACTTTGGAAGGCCAAGGCGGGTGAATCACGAGGTCAGGAGATCGAGACCATCCTGGCTAACATGGTGAAACCCCGTCTCTACTAAAAATACAAAAAAAAAATTAGCCGGGCGTTGTGGCGGGCGCCTATAGTCCCAGCTACTCGGGAGGCTGAGGCAGGAAAATGGCGTGAACCTGGGAGATGGAGCTTGCAGTGAGCCGAGATCGCACCACTGCACTCCAGCCTGGGTGATAGAGCGAGACTCTGTCTCAAAAAAAAAAAAAATGTAACTTACCATGGGATGTAGAATTACCAATTACATCTTATTCTTTTTTCTATTTAAAATTATTAAAACATTTTGGAGAATTTTACCTTAAAAGTCAAGCAACAATGCTAAAATCTGTTATTTCGTAAAAAGGGTAAGAAAACCCTATGGTAGAAATGGCAAGTAAAACTGATTCTAGTGGGCTGGGGGAGGACCCCAGATGCAGGTGAGACCTTGATCCCAGCCAGTGTCTAAGCTCTTAACACTGTCAGGAGAATGAATTCAAGTATGAGTCTGAAAGTAATGAAAGTACAGAGATTTATTGCAAAGGGAAAAGTACACACTCAAGAAAAAGGAGTGTGGGCGTACTCAAGAGAGAGTCACATACAAGGGGCTGCTAGCTTTATGGGTTTCTTTAACCATGAAGTGGAATATTCGTGAACATTTCTGGAAAAAGGTAGCGATTTCTTGGAACTGTGGTGTCACCCATTTTTAAAACAAATATGGGTGTTCTCTGAACTGTCATGGCACTGATTCGTGTGTGATTTAGTATGTTAATGAGCATATAATGCGGTCCTAGGTGAAACTTAGGTCAAATCCAGTGCCATGTTGGGTCCAGTCAGTCTTAGCCAGCTTAGTTCACACTCTGGTTTTTCAGGGTCTTATCATTTCATAGCTTTTGCAACTATTTCAGAAGTTTCCTTTTGCTAGTCATATGAAACTGCTTCCAGAATTTTCTAATCTCCTGCAACCACCCTGTATTATTCCTGTCTCAAAATTTGTACTCTGTTTTGTTATGCAGGAGTTAACCAACAATAAAAATAAGATCTCACCATTAAAAAGGTGTATACTGTTTTCAGGGAACAAAAATAAGCCTATAATTTTGACCAAGGAGCATTTACTTGCAAAATATTGAAGCCACCTCTTGAATAATAATAATTCAAAATAACAATTTTACATAAAATCGGAGATCCTCAATTCCATCCAAGGGCGAGCCAGTTCCTTTACCATCAGTATACATCTCCCTCAACTCCAGGACAGGGAAATGGTCAGCCTATTCTGGCCTTGTGAGATGTTAAGAAAAATTATCCAAAATTCATAAGACAAAAGCATGACTGTATAATCCTTATTGTTAATATAAAGGTTTTCTAGTAACCCTGAGTATCATCTGACTCTAAGGGAACAAATATTTGTTTGACTTCCTACTTACTACTATTGAGGACCCGAACATACTATAATTCTGTAATCTCAGATATTAATTTGTAGAAAACTGATAAGATAAAAATTATTTTTATTTGCTATAAACATGTTATTTTTGTCTGATAGAGAAAATAAACCCAAAGATTTTATAGATAGATGGATAGATAGATAGATAGATAGATAGATAGATAGATAGATAGATAGGCAGATTGATTTTAGATTTAGGATCTTGCTCTGTCACCCAGCTGAAATGCAGTGGCTCAGTCACAGCTCACTGCAACCTCAAACTCCTCGGTTTAAGTGATCCTCTCTGCTGACTCAGCCTCCTGAGTAGCTAAGACTACAGCTGCACACCACCATGACTGGAAAATTTGTTTTTTTTCTTTGGTAGGGACAGCATGTTGCCCAGGCTGGTCTTGAACTCCTGAACTCTCACAATCCTTCTGACTCAGTGTCCAAAAGTGCTGGAATTAAGGTAATACTTTTGATGCCCTGCAGGCCTTTAACCAATTTTGTATCTCCCTTTCTATTTCTTTTTTCTTTCACTGACCATTCATATGTAGATCTCTCTTATGCTCTTTTGAACGGGCTGGTTCCTTCATTATAAGTTAAATAGAACTTTAATACTTCCTCATTAGGTTTGGGAATTATGATTTATAACATTTTGAAGATTATATTTTTGGCAGTTCTGGAAAGTCTTCTAAAATCTGCTTCTATCAGGAGAATCCACTGGATGGAAGGGCAGCCTGTGGATTAAGGAACATCCTGATAAACATGCCTTTGAAAACTGTCCTTGTGTCTCCCTGACTTTCTGGATTCCTGAGCTGCTACGACTGATCTGTAGGGTTTGGAAGTTTTTGTTTTTGTCTGGGAACAGAGCAGATTGTACTCTTTCAGACTTGCATGTAACTATTTACCTAATATGTCTTTGTATTTCAAAAATTAAAAACTGAAGGGCTGGGCGCGGTGGCTCACGCCTGTAATCCCAGCACTTTGGGAGGCCGAGGCGGGTGGATCATGAGGTCAGGAGATCGAGACCATCCTGGCTAACAAGGTGAAACCCCGTCTCTACTAAAAATACAAAAAATTAGCCTGGCGCGGTGGCGGGCGCCTGTAGTCCCAGTTACTCGGGAGGCTGAGGCAGGAGAATGGCGTGAACCCGGGAAGCGGAGCTTGCAGTGAGCCGAGATTGCGCCACTGCAGTCCGCAGTCTGGCCTGGGCGACAGAGCGAGACTCCGTCTCAAAAAAAAAAAAAAAAAAAAAAAAAACTGAAAACTTGAGTTCTATAAGTCTTGTCAGATTACTATTTGGAAATTATAAGTTAAGGCCTCACTATTCTGGTTATTATCCTCCAGAGCTGAGTCTAAATACTCTCTTTAGGTTGTTGCTAGAAGTTGTGATATTTTTCTTATCTCCAGGTGAGAGCTAAGTAGACTTGGTTGGACACCCATTTTTAGTATAGAGACCGGAAGTTTGTGTATAATAATATCTTGTTTATGGCACTGCTGTGAAATCTTTGAAGGTCTGTAGAAGCTTGGAAAGGTAAAGTAAAGAACTTGAAGGAGTCTATATGTCTTTAAGCAATTCAATAGCTTGGGGTTCTTAAATTCTGAGTAAGTGGGAGAGGAAGGGAGGGAAAGAAGGGAGGAAAGGCCAAAGAAAAAAGGAAGGAAAATTTACTCAAAAGAGCTAAAGTTGTTTATAATGATATGACTTTGCTATATGTATTTTAAATCCTTGCATTGGTACTCTGGTTAATAAGTAACCAAGCTGCAGTCATACATTGTTCTCAGTCACCTATGTTCTGGACTTCATCAAATGACCAGTGTAAAAATGTTCCCTTCCCAAGATCAGATGCTAAATTCAGAAAAATAAAATTGTTGAGGTATGTTTTTTGTTAAATTTGTTTTTTAGAGATGGGATCTCACTGTATTTCCCAGGCTGACCTCAAACTCCTGGACTCAAGCAATCTTCCTGCCTTGGCCTCCCACAGTGCTGGGATTACAGGCATTAGCCACCATGCCCAGCCTGAGGTATTTTATATTCCAGAAATATGGACCAGCTTCATGGATAAACACGATATGCCAATGTAGAGAGAGAAAATTTGGGTCAAACTAGCCACAAATGGAAAGAAGGTGAAATAATGGCTGAGTCTGAAGGAACTAACCAATGGTGTCTTCAAAACAGAAAATCAAGCATAACTTTGGTTCCTCAAGACAAGCTTAGAGCAAATAGCTTTCTCTCTTAGCTTACATTCAAATGCCTATATGGGTGAAGCACTTTGTTTTCCAAAGCCTCTGCCATTACTAAAACAAAATTATCTTAACTGGGAGGCAGCCAACCTGAGTACTAAGGTTATGGGGGTGACTAAGACAAATGCTTCAATGCAATATGAAACAAAGCAAACCCGAATGATGGTTATACTGAATAGCTCTAACATGGCTCTCTGTTTTGGCTCACATTTAAAAGATACATTTACTATTGGGGTTTCCATATAGGAATGTAATTTACAGAAATTTCTTCCTCCTGATCAACCGTTAAATACCCTGGTCTGTAATGGGGCTGGGAATCATTTTGTAACTGTAAATTTCATAGTGAAGTGTTAGGGAAAGTACCAGGTTACAAATGTGAAAAGCTATCTGTCATTTGCCTGGTATGTCAGTGTTATTGCCAGAAGAGTTTTTTACCCTGTTTTTTTGGATTAAAAGCATTAAAGAAAAGATGAAAAAAAACATGTGGGTTATTGAGATCAATCAATCCATGGGGATTACATGGTGGGTTCATATGTTGGATTCTAAAATACCTGGATTCTGGAGATGTTGCCTATAGGAGACCCTCTGGTACACACAAACAAAGGGACGTTTGGGAGTAACCACTATCTGTATAAATTTTTCCCCAGAAACACAATGATTTGGGCTACAAAATATATTTTACAATTATACCCAAGCAATTAGCACATAGTGGTAACAGCATATATAATGAATTTAAAAACTTTGGCCTTCCAGAACAAAAGGAGCTTTGGGAGAAATAGGATCAGCCCTAGGAATATTAGAACATACAGAATATGTTGTTAATGAAATCAGTTACTCAGCCCTTCATGCAGGAATAGGATGTCTCCAGGGTATCCCATACCAGTGAGTAGGCAAATGATAGCAAGCTCCATGGTGTGAAAATGGGGTTATCAAATGGAATAAACTTTAAGACAACATGCTGGAACACAATGGTGGGAAATAACTTGTGCTCTAACCCAAGCACGGCTTTTTGATATATGATTTCAAATGGAAGCAGAAGTGGCCCATGTCCATTTACCTGGCACACTGAATGTCAAGTCACAGTGATTCCATTTATGGAAAACAGTTAGGTCCTCTAATTTATGAGAGTTTCTAAATGGAGACTATAATTTGCATCAGTGTCCATTAACTGCTTTGGCACCACGAATAAACCAGAATAAGACATACTTGACTGTATAATTTGTACAGATAGTAGATAAATTTTACTCACACACTCCTAATGGGAAGTTGATGGTCCATCTTAAAAGACCCCTTCCACTGGGAATTCATTTCAATTCAGTCTTGTAAGACGACAGAAGGTATCTGAATATGTGTCTGATTATGTGCACAGAATACACGGAATCCCAAACTCAATCACACATTGCTTTTAGTTATACCCTAGTACAAAATAATATTTTATATGGAAAGGGTCCTATTTGTTTGGAAGGGACAGTGAATGAATAATACAGTCTTAATTTGTGAGTTGTTTTATAACTATATGTCTGATATCTATAATCATCCTGTAAATTATTGGTGAGGCCGATTTGATAGTTGTCAGTAAGACCTACAATAATACAGATATAAATGACCAAATGTTTGAGGAATTCAAACCTCCTCAATAACTGATCCCAGTGGAAGATGATTATTCTGAAGAGGAGTTAGATTTAATTAACAAATCAGTTAATCATGGTTTTAAATCAATCAGCACACACTGATCACAGAGTCAAAATTACAATAGGAAAAAGTAGCAAGAGAGATGTTAAACTGATACAAAAACATGAGGCAACATGAAGGAATTATAGGATGGTTGATCTGCCTTTTAATGTAGATATCCACACCTGAGTTTTGTTTTTATTTTTTTTTGTTATTATTTTTTGACATGGAGTCTCGCTCTGTTGCCCAGGCTGGAGTGCAGTGGCGTGATCTCGCCTCACTGCAAACTCTGCCTCCCAGGTTCATGCCATTCTCCTGCCTCAGCCTCCCGAGTAGCTGGGACTATAGGCGCCCACCACCATGCCTGGCTAATTTTTTTGTACTTTTTGTAGAGACGGGGTTTCACCTTGTTAGCCAGGATCACCTTGGCCTCCCAAAGTGCTGGGATTACAGGCATGAGCCACTGTGCCCAGCCATCCACACCTGAGTTATTATAAAAATAATCATTGGTACTTTGTTGACTTGCTTGCTATATCACTAGTGTGAAAGATGTAACTCTACTAGTGTAGATAAAGAACAATTTATTATAAAAAGACCTTGACTGAGTGTCACTACATTGGACTACATTGCACAATTGAATCTCAGGTGGTCTTGGTTGACTGCATGCTTTACTCCAGAGTTGCCTGGAGCAAGGTATTGACCATTGGCCAACACTATAAAATATTTTAACTAGACAAATAATGTTCTGTAACCGTCGGTTCATGAGCTGTTTCAAAGGTAGGGCATACCAGCCTGTCAGCATTGTTTAGGTATAGTGATTTGATTTAGCAGTCTATCTAACTGCAATTGCCTTTGGTGTTGTTGGGACCTAGGGGTTTTGATGGCTGCAGCTGATTGCATAGCAGAAATGTGCCTAGGTAGCCAGCTCACTATAAAAGATCCTCACCACAAGCAGACATTGGGCTTCCTGGTAATCAAAGTTTCACATATCTGCTGGTGATCATTCAATAATGGAAAACAAAAAGCATCCTGTGTGATCCAGCAGTGTGAGGACAAAGACTGAACTTGAGATTGTTTCAGATCCCTTTCAAGGAATACTGTTTGCCTGCGGTTACTATACTCTATCTTAGCCTGTAATAAAACTATTCTATAAATATAATGTTTAGGGTCTGTAAGTCCTTTCAGCAATCAAACACTTAAGGTAATTAGTGCGTAATTAATGCAGCATGCAAACAGGTTGTGCTATTCTAATAATTGAAGTAGAAGCTGTAAATGTCAAAACATAAGAATATCTTTATTTATACATAGTAACTGAACTACAGTATTTCTAAGACAAAGTTAATACTGAATACCAAAATCACTTCAGCATAAAAATACTCACTTTCTCATTGTCTGTTGTTCTCAATCAGATTTCAGGAATCTTTGAAAAAAAATCATCTGTCCTACAATGATATTGAACATTTTTGTAAACTTCTAAATTTTGGTTGCCATTTCAATCAATTTTAAATCTTTCATGAAATTATTCATTGATAGAGCATGAAAAAAGTTTAGCTTTTGAAGTTTTTAGTGATTTGTAGGTCTTGAAAACAATGCTTGCAGAAAGATAGAGTTTGAAATTTATTTCTAAAAACAAAAGATGAACTGAATAAATTATACAATGACACTTGAATGCTGTGCAAGATTTAATTTTAAATCCTATAATAATATTTTGGAATATTTTAATATATATGGAGAATCTTTGATAGAGCACACTTTTTACTGAATTTATATTCTATTCAGAACAGAATTAAAATACTCATGAATAGAGAACATGTATTGTAGAATTTGGCTTATAAAAATAGTTGACATTGTAGGATACAAGATCAATATAAAACCAGCATACTTGCAATGAAATTCTGAAAATGTACTTAAAGAAACAATTTCTTTATAATAGAATCAAAAAGAATAAAATACTTAGGTATAACTTAAAAAAAAGAAGTACAAGATTGATACAGAGAGTCTCAAAACATTGTTAGAAGAAATTGAAGATTTAAATAAAAAGAAGTATAACACGTTTATAAATCAGAAAAGACTTATTGTTGAGAACCTATATTCTTTCAATTAATCTATAGATTCAGTACAATCTCTTTCAAAATCTCAGTTGCCTTTCTTGCCAAATTGATAATCTCCTCCTAAAGCTTATATAAAATGCAAGGGACTCACAATAGCCAAATAACTCTGGAAAAGAATGAAAGAACGAAATTGAAGGAGTCACATCTTTTTTTTTTTTTTTTTTTTTTTGGCACAATATCTCGCTGTTATCACCCAGGCTGGAGTGCAGTGGCACCATCTTGGCTCACTGCAACCTCTGCCTCCTGGGTTCAAGCAATTGTCCTGCCTCGGCCTCTCGAGTAGCTGGGATTACAGTCATGTGCCACCAAACCCCACTAATTTTTGTATTTTTAGTAGAGATGGAGTTTCCCCATGTTGGCCAGGCTGGTCTTAAACTCCTGGCCTCAAGTGATCCACCTGCGTCGAACTCCCAAAGTGCTGAGATAACAGGCGTGAACCACCAAGTCCGGCCATAACTTCACTTCTATGAGATATCTAAAGTAGTCAAACTCATAGAATTAGATAGTAAAATGGTGATTACCAGGGAATCGGGGAAAGGAAAATTGGGAGTTGTTGTTCAATGACTATAGAATATCATTCATACAAGATGAGACATTTCTGGAGTTCTGCTATACAACTTTGTGCTTATGATTAACAATATGATACACTTAAAAATCTGTTAAAGGGGTAGATCTCAGGTTATGTCTTTTTGACCACAACCACCACCACACACACACACACACACACACACACACACACACACAAACCACTAAAAAAACCACAACAAAAAATAAGGTAACCTGACACAAAGTTGCACCAAATCAATAGCCAAAGTTGCTGTAGTTTCATCTTCACCTTCACAACGTTTCCCTTAGCCAAAAATGAATTATTTTGCCTCTGAGTTTAAAGCATCCATCAAAACAATCACAAGGCAGAGCCATCAGAAACCTATACCTGATTTTCATGACAAATACAGGAGTGCTGTATTAGCGAGTGGAGCCACTCCTGTATATCTATGCACAAACACTTCAACACAAATTGGAATACAGTGGAAACTGTCCCCTGTTAGCAAAGCCACTCCAATGGAATGGAAAAATCAATAATTAGCTGATGTAATAATACTGAATTGTCTCAAAACCAACTCATGGTTGATGCCAAATAAAAACACTGTGTTCTTATTAAAATATGACATTATTGAACAAGTAAAGTACATTTGAAACCTTAAAAAATAAAAAGAAATTGTTTGGCAATTTAAAAAAAACACTTAACTTTGAATCAAAAACTGAGTTTTGCCGGGCGCAGTGGCTCATGCCTGTAATCCCAATACGTTGTGGGGCTGAGGCAGGTGGATCACGAGGTCAGGAGATCAAGACCAGCCTGGTCAACATAGTGAAACCCCGTCTCTACTAAAACTACAAAAATCAGCCCAGCGTGGTGGCTTGCACCTGCAGTCCCAGCTACTCAGGAAGCTAAGGCAAGAGAATTGCTTGAACCTGGGAGGCAGAGGTTGCAGTGAGCTGAGATCATCCCACTGCACTCCAGCCTGGGAGACAAAGAGAGACTCCATCTCAAAAACAAACAAACAAACAAAACACAAGCAAACAAACTGAGTTTTAGAAATCTTTTTGCCACTATCTGACTATGTGACTCTTGTCAAGTAATTCCATCTCTCTAAATCTGGTTAACCATCCCTTCTCCCCAAGGTAGAATTAGTCAACAACTTTACATTTGATCCACATCCACAATTCCTTAGCATGTTTTTGGTCACATTCGTATGATTCTAGTAAATTTGGGGGAAAAGTATAAACTAGAATTTAAAAGGCCTCTTCTTGCAATTCACTTTAGGAAATGTCAGCATTTTCTGAAAACAGACAAAATGCCTCTTGGGTTTATTCCATGGAATCAAACACGATTTATGTATTTAAGTCACAGCTAAAACTAGAATCACAGAATTCTCTCTACTGAAATTGTAAGCAAGACCCAAAATCAGAAGCAAGAATCAGACATTAAGCAGAAACATAATTTAGACTGACCAAATAGTTGTCCAAGGATTCTGACTCTTGATTTCTTATTGGGGTTCAAAGCAGAGATCAAGTCAGAGAATAAAGTGAGATGGAAGAACTTCACTAATTAATGGCTCAAGAACAGACACAAGTCCGGGCTTTCTCAATTTGATATGAATTCTGTGAGAATATAGGGGTTGAGTCAATGAAGGACCAGGCATACTGGTTGATGTGTGTCCATACGTAGATAAACCTTACAATCAGGGCCCTATTCATGACATTTTCATTTAAGCTACACTAGGGCAGGAGTTCTGGTCTTTTGATGTTGTTTTTCCCCTACTATATTCCTAGCTCTTAGATTAGAACCTGGGCTCTTATTGGTGTTCAATAAATATTGGCCGAATAAATGAATAGATAACTTGCAAATATGGTTTGAATATTGGTCCTTGTGCTTAATAGATGTGCTCCTTTGATTAACTGCTTAATCTCTGAAGCCTTCATTCCGATATCCTTGAAAGGAGAATAATCTACCCCTCAGATACATATAAGGTTTAAATTACCAATCTAAGTACTAGCAGGGTGCCTGGTACATAGGAGACATTACATAAAAACTGATTTGTTTGTTTTTTTCTCCCTCAATTCATTACTTTAACTACTGTAAATATTTAAAGCAATATTATTATACTTTAAAAATATAACGACCACCCTTTTTTATGGTATTTTGCTGAGAGCAGTGAACAATTCTCCCAATTCTGTCTCAGTTAAATGAACTTATGTGAGAAATTTTAATATATTTATTTATTTACTTATTTAAGGAAAGACCAAATATAGTATTTCCAGATACATATTCTTTTCTGCTTAATTCTTTAGCATTTTCTTTTAATCCTTTGAATTAGCTCTAAAATCCCTCTTCGGGGTAAATCATTACTACACCTAATTTAAGATACCCCATGGCCTCCTCTAGCCAGTAGTGTAAGCACAGGCTTCTAGAGTTCTCATTAGCTTCTCAAATGAATCTAAAATTATCTATATATACGTATCTCTATGTGACCTACAAAGTTATCATTGTCAGTGGCAACCATAACAGAATGTAGGATTACTGACCATTATTTTTTCTGTATGGCAACTACCACCATGTAAATGTGTACTTATAATGAAATACCATACATGAAAACCTCTTAAACAATGATAAATTCACAGCTGTGTTTCCTCTTGTACATAATTAGGGCCTCAAAAAATAATCTATTTTCAACATGAACAGGATTCTCTTTGCAAGAAAAAACAGATGGAGCCAAGAAGGTAAATAAGAATAGTGTGATTCGGCAATGATCATCTCAACACACATTATAAAGAACTTATGAAAATATTTCCCAGTTTGAGATGGAAACTAAAACAGCCATGTGTAGCACATTAAAATGTTAAACCTCCACATTTTCCACCAAAAATTTGTTTTGCACCATATTGTAAAATTTTTAAAAATGCTCTTTGAGCCATTAGTAAATGTACCATAAGAATAGCTATCCTAAATACAAGTATGACCCTTGTGACAATTATGGTTTTGACTGCCCAGTAACTGTACTGGGTACAATTGCCTCTGCAACTTAGGTTATAACAAGAGCCTCCTCCCCTCACTGAAGAGGTGAATGTGTGCCTGGGTTATGCACTGCATCTTTATCTTTTCCTGCAATGACTTTCTTCAGGTTTGGTTGCTAAACAAGTTGGACAAATCAGGTCATCCATGCCCTTTTCCTAAGGTAGAGCAAGGTAGAGCCAGGTAGAGCCCTTTTTCTTCTTCAGACATAAATGTGACACCAGAGCTTCTGGCTGTCATGTTCCCATCTTATAAAATCGCATAAATGAAAGACAAAAATGTAGAGAATCTTGGAAGTCAGTTTCTATGATCAAGTCATGAGTTTCCTTGGTTGCTATGTTCTGGAAGTTTTCCCTTCAACTGTATGAGCTGTTCCAGCATCATTCAGTATCATTCCAATAAATTCTCCATTTTTGCTGAAACTAGTTTGAGTTGGATTTTATAACAGCGCTTACTAAAAAGTGTACACACAGAACTTCTACAGCTGTGCAAATCCCAAAGGCTCTAAAACTGGTTCATAGTACCACTTACCCTCGAATTAATGAGTCATTTTGTATTTATTGGCTTGAAAATGAAAGCATGGTTGCTTTCTGTATTAGTGCACAGAAGAAAAATAGATCATCCTTTGTTTTGCCAGTCAAATGAAGAAAATTGGTTTGAAATGTTTTTCCCATAGAGCAGATTAGTTGAAATTTATCATGCATTACAGGAAACAGAACTAGAAATAACTCAAATTGATGTCATCTTCATGTATTTTTCATTGCTGTTCGCATTTCTCTGGGTGTGTTAAGAAAAGAGAATAGTTTACTCTTTCAAACTACAACAAAATGCTTATATATTTTTGTTTTAATATGTAATCCCCTGCTTTCTTCTGAAGTGAGTTGATCCTGGCTAGGAAGCGTTGCTTGCTGAACTGGATGATAAGTGGGAGAATACAAAAGAAGAGTAGCTAAAGAAAGCTAACACAAGAGCATATCTGTAATCAAGAAATGGCTATAAGCAGGAAAGGAGGAGGCTGGGAAGCAGTAGGAAAGATGTGGTTGAAGTGGATTTTGGCTAAAGAAGAATTCCTGGAGGAGGTTGGAAATGTTTAATGGGAATTTTGAGCAAGTATTGTTAAGGTACCACATTGCACCTTTTTTCTTCAGTCTACCCACAACATCCTCTAGTAAAATCCATACTTCGTGCTAACTAATGCTTTCTGGAATTGGATTTGCTTTGCAGGCTGTGACAGAGTATTATTCCTTGATTTAATGTTACCAAGATCATAAAAGCAAAACCAAAAACAATTCAGAGGTTTTCTATGTGGACCTCATGACATTTGTTTTCAATTATAAATAACAATTGTTTTTCATAATGCATTATTGATTGCAATGGGTCTTATAAGAAATTTGGCACGTCCATCTTAAACCCCAAATTTTGGAACTGTTTGCATTGTGTTGTTTATTTTTGAAAAGGAGAAACGAAGTGACAATCCTCAGGTACTTTGAAGTTGAAACAAAACATAATGAAGGTACCATCTACAATCCTTAAGTGAGAAATAATCTATGGAGGATTTTACCTTAGAGACTCTGTCAAATGCTGCACTTCTTATAGATACCAGTTTAAATGGTCTTCGAAGTAAAATGTGTTTAATTACACACTGTTGGTAGAAATAGTTCATGCAATTTGTAAGCAAACAGGATCAGCATTATAAAGATTTTTTATTTTTTCTTCTATCTCCTATGGAACTCAGAATACATTCCCACATGTACTCTTTCCTTGGCATGAGTTCTAAACCATCTCCAGCACAAAGTGGTCTGTAAAGTTTCAAGGAACAATTATATAGCCATACCCTATAGGTCAGGGTTCCCAGTGTCCAGGCGATGGACCGGTACTGGTCCGTGGCCTGTTAGGAATTGAACCGCATAGCAAGAGGTGAGCGGCGAGTGAATGAGTGAAGCTTCATCTGTATTTACAGATGTTCCCCATCGCTCACATTACCACCTGAGCTCCACCTCAGATCAGCGGCGGCATTAGATTCTCACAGGAGCACAAACCCTATTGTGAACTGCACACACGAGGGATCTAAGTTTTGTGCTCCTGTTGAGAATCTAATGCCTGATGATCTGTCACTGTTTCCCATCAGCCCCAGATGGGACTGTCAAGTTGCAGGAAAGTAAGCTCAGGTCTCCCACTGATTCTACATTATGGTGAGTTGTGTAATTATTTCATTATATATTATAATGTAATAATAATATAAATAAAGTGCATGATAAATGTAATGTGTTTGAATCATCCTGAAACCATCCCCCTGCCCCAACTCCAGTCCATGGAAAAATTGTCTTCCACGAAACTGGTCCCTGGTGCCAAAAAGGTTGGGGACCACTGCTATAGATGATGAATGGTTTAACTGTTGTGACACTTGAAAATTTCACTCAGAATTAGGATCCAAGTCTAAGAATTTATGATAAGATTCTTGGTCTTTGCTACAAATCCTTCTCTTCCCTATTTTTATCTCTCTTCTTTATCTCTTTTTTTATAAACTGGAGAAAATAAAGAATGAAACCAAGGCTCCCAGAGGATAGAATAACTTGATTACCATTGTAAATTCATATATTAGGAATACTTTTAATATTACTTGAGTAAATAAATGTGTTAGTGATTCACTAATGGTGACCCCAAGTGTTAACCTCCATGCTACTCAAAAAGGATCCATACAGATGAAAAGAAAGAGGCTCCTAATTTACATCATAGAATGAGTTCTGGTCAAAAAGCTCTACATAGGGTTAATTTCTCTTTGGAAAATCACTTTAGATCACTTTCTTTGAGAAGTTTAAAGTATCAGCATTTGATTTTCTCTTTTCTCACTTATTTAACACCATGAGAATATGCCGTAACTTGTTCTATGAAAGTACTAGATTCTAAGTTACAGTAAATATTTTGAATGTTGTGCTTTCTGTGCATCATAGTTATACGATATGTATATCCTTGGCCCAAATAATTCAATACTGGAAGCAATCTAGATTTTAATACATTTTATTAGAATTGTGGAATTGTGGAAACAGCTGGAAGCTCTCAAAATTCAATAGACAATAATATTTCTACAAGTGCTTCCTACTGCTTATAGGCTTGGCTTTAACTAGCTACTTTGTTGTAAGTATCATGCTGTTGTCATAGCAACTTTGGAGAAGGTCATGATATATGGGAAACTGAGTTGGTGATGACATAAAGACATAGTCTAATAATGACTGCAGTAATTCCTCCTGGGAAAACAATGTCAAAGATCAAGGAGTTGTGATAATTCTTCAGAAATTCCATAGAGAAGGCTTACTTGGGGCTTAATATTTTCAAGCTAAAACTGAATATATCTGAACACAGATTCCTTTCCTTCACTCCATTACCTACAACTTTGTCTTAAAGAATGATACTTCCGAGGCTGGTGTATGAATAACATAAACTGAATTCCTGTACTTTCAAAAATAATATTCTTAGTTTTCTTCTAAATGTGGAGCCAATACATATCTTTACTTTTCTTCTTTATAGTCCCTGATCTAGAAAAAACCCACAGTTTTCATTTGTAACAAAAATCTCCACTGAAACAATCATCTTACACGTAGCACAGAGCACAGAGCACAGAGCACTGAGCACAGAGTTCTTTTCAAGGAATCTTGATGACTTAAGAAATTGACTATCCTTTAATTTTTTTTCTGATTTCTTAATGTGGGGACATGAATGTGAATATCACTCTAAGCTTGAAAACTAAAACATGACAATTTCATTTGGAAATTATATCTAAAGTTTCTGTTGTGATTCTTAACAAGGATAAAATCTCCCAACTGAGATATATTCCTTTAAAGTTAAACCAACATCTATTTGTCTCTAACTGAATATTTCTAGTGATCCATACTGATAAAAAAAATGATTACTTTGGGAGAGTAATTAAAATAGTTGGAAATTACCCAAATGCTTCAATATTTATATACATTATAACAGGCCAAGGAACAACTTTTCATCTTTGTTACCAAAATCCAACAAAGGCTACTCTGAGAGAAGCAGTTTTGCCTATAAGAAAGAACATGTCAGACGTGGGTTTAATCAGAGCTTGCCACTTAGTAAACACTTGTCCTTGTGTAAGTTATATATACCTTCTGAGTCTGTTTCCTCAAGTATGAAATATAAATGAATCCTATGTTGCAGGACTATGGAAAGAGAGAAAATATATGTAAGATATCTTGAGCAAAATAATGAAGGCTAGCAAACAGAAGAAGCATAGTTCATGATCACTATTGAAAAGTTTCATTAACTACTTATTGATGTTCCATTTGGTAATTATCTAACTGAGAGAAATAACTAATGGATTTTCTAATGAAGGAAAAGTAAATGAATATGTCTCACCCCCAGGCAACATTAGTGGCAAAGGCTGCCAAAGATATTTCTCCAAAATCCACAGAGAAGGAATCACACATTACCAATGTTTAGTACTATGTTTCCTTTTTTTAAAAAAGTATCTTATTCCAAAACTCAAATGAGGATATATTGTCAATTAAAAAAATTAAAACCCAATTCTTACAAAAGAAAAAAGTGAGCTATCTTTAACAGAAAGCTATGTAAAGGAAGCCAGGAATCCAATCGAAGAAAACAGTCCTAAATCCCAAGAAGACAGCTGTGTAGCAGGCATAGCTGTGATACAGACAGGAACCAGGGAAATACTGGGTAGAAGAGGGCAGTTTCCTGGCAAAGGCCCCACCCTCAAGACTACATACCTGTGCCCCTAAATGGGAAGAGGCATTCCTGTTTTCACACCCAAAAAGTTGCCTTTTGGCCTGCCACACCCCTCTTATACTGTACCCATATAAACCCCATACCCAGGCTCCAGGAGATGAGAAGACAAGCAGACAAGGAGACAAGCAGATGAACGGCAGAACAACCCTGCAGAGAAAGAGAGAAGAGGAGGAGCGTCTGAACGAGCAGAGTTTGGCTGAGGGTGGTGGGAGAGGAGTTTGGCCACTGGACAGCCAACTCCAGGGAAAGATCATCTTTCCACTCCATCCCCCTACCAGCTCCCCATCCATCCCACAGAGAGCCACCTCCATCACTCAATAAAATCCCCACATTTATCTTTCAAGGTTGTGTGTGACTCAATTCTTCTGGGATGCTGGACAAGAGC
Organism: Homo sapiens; assembly: GCF_000001405.40. NCBI lineage: Eukaryota > Metazoa > Chordata > Mammalia > Primates > Hominidae > Homo > Homo sapiens. The sequence goes on from NC_000012.12 coordinate 39,178,524, forward strand.
TTGGAATACAGAAAGCTGTCACACTGGCCCTCTGCCCTGGCAAAAAGGCAGAGGGTCCACTGAGCTGGTTAACACTTAAGCCGTCCGCAGATGGCAAAGCTAAAAGAGCATACTGTAACACATGCCATACCTACTTGGGTTTTGGGAGTTGCAGGCACCTACCCCTAGACCCTATCATGGCGCCAGAGCCCCAGAACGCTTGCCCCAGCTCCTGCACCTGCCTGTTTGCATGCTTCCCTTCTAGTAAGGGTTTTGAGTGCTTGGTGGCCAAACACATAAACCATGCCCCAGTTGCATGTCCTGCAAGTGGGGGTCAGGGAACTCTCCTGTCTCAGCAGCACCACTGATTCAGATTGGTTTGGGATGTTAAATAACTCAGGGAAGTTATTCTCCAATAAAAAATATAAAGTGCAATAAAAAATATAATTTACAGCGTAGAAATATTTGATGACATATACAATTTGAGCAAACAGAAATTCCTCCATCAGGAGCAGACTAAGCCTTTGCAATAAAGTTGTAGTTCACACACAAGGCAAACAAAAATATGACTCAAGCTTGGGTATAGGAAAGGAGAATCTACTTGACCTTACTTAGGAACTAAGCCAGTAGCAAAGGTAGTATAGACAAGGGAATATAGTACTACTTAAGCTGGTGGATAATATTTACATAGTCATAATACTGTAATGAAAATGGTGTTTACAAGTTGTCAGCTTTTCAAGTCAACCAATGGATAAAAGATGAAAGTTTCTATTATGGGATCAGAACATAATGTAAATGTCAATAATTTTTCAAACAAAATACCAAAATTATAGCTGTAAGAAAGAAGCAGTTGGAAGGAAACAGAGGAGGGAGTGAAAAAAAACAAGGACAAGTGTACTATATTTATATCCTCTCATAGAACAGAGAATCAAGTATAGACTGCAGTAAACAGAGCAGGAAGTAGAAGTGCGTTACTTAACAAAGCAGCCAGGTGACTTTGGGAAACAGAGGTAGGAGAATCCCTTGAGACTGGGAGTTTGAGAACAGCCTGGGCAACATAGCAAGATCTTGTCTCTACAAAAATTTACCTCCATGTGGTCTAACAGTGACACAAATTTAAAAAAGTATTTATAATTATGGATGTTATTACTAGAAACTTACAATAAATGCCATTTTAAAATGTTGGCTGTGGGGATGGAAATGGAGATAGAGGAAGAGTGGTCAGGAAACTATAATTTCTTCCCAAAAGGACTCTGAACTATTCAATTTTCACAATGTATATACCTTTTATATATTTTTGTAGATGGAGTCTCACTTTGTCACCCAGGTTGGAGTGCAGAGACATGATCTCAGTCATTGCAACCTCCACCTCCCAGGTTAAAGTGATTCTCCTGCCTCAGCCTCCCCAGCAGCTGGGATTATAGGCACCCACTACAACACCATGCTAATTTTTATGTTTTTAGTAGAGATGGGGGTTTCACCATGTTGGCCAGGCTGGTCTTGAACTCCTGACTTCAGGTGATCCACCTGCCTCGGCCTCCCAAAGTGCTGGGATTACAGGCGTGAGCCACTGTGCCCAGCTATATCTTTATTTTTTAATTCAAGGCTATAGAGTTAAAATCATAAATGTGTTTTTAACTTAAAAAAATTTCTGATGTACACATAGATTTTTAAGGTATATTTTTTATCAGAGATCAACTCCATATTGATTAGTTTCAAATGGCTTCTCATGAGGTAGAACTTAATTTGATCTTAAGTGCTTGAGCTCCCAAAACACTCGCAGAGATTAGAGGCATGAGCCACCGTGCCGGGCAAGAGGGCATAATAATAGTCATCATCACAGTCCATTTTTTTTTCATTAGAGCTCTTTAAAGCAGTGGTTCCCAACAATTTTGTCCCCGGGACCAGTTTTGTGGAAGACAATTTTTCCATGGATGGGGAGGGGTGGGGGATTGTTTTGGGATAAAACTGTTCCACTTCAGATCATCAGGCATTAGTTAGATTCTCACAACCTAGATCCCTCACATGCGCAGTTCACAATAGGGTTCCCACTCCTTCCTATGAGAATCTAATGCTGCCATTGATCTGACAGGAAGTGGAGCTCAGGCAGTAATGTGAGTGATGGAGAGTGGCTGTAAATACAGATGAAGCTTCATTTGCTTGTTCGCTGCTCACCTCCTGCTGTGCCACCCGGTTCCTAACAGGCCATAGACTGGTACTGCTCTGCAGCCCGGGGTTTGGAGGACCCCTGCTTTAGTAGAAATCAGTTCCTTCATAGGGTGAGATTTTGGCCAATCTACTACCAATAAAACTTTAAAAAGTGACAGTGTCAGAAAATTCAAGTACTACATCAAAGAAACAAAACTGAGATGGATGCTTAAGTATACACAAATTCTAGTCTATGACTGTGAGGTCCAAAGTATTTCTATGACAGGTAAAGAAGGAAAGAGAGAAAGTAAATCCACAGGTAGGAATAAAAGTGGATCTTAAATTTGTATTTAACCCATAATGCTACCATCAAATATTAAATGGGAAATTCATGTCCATATGTGTCACATGATGCATACAATCTAACACTGTAAGTACAATACTAAGGTTTGGAAAATCTGGAAATTTCCCTTTAAATGTATTTCTTTTTTTAAATTTTAGCAAAAAGATTTTTGTTTCCTGCACTGGTGTATCAAGTAGTCTTTTTTTTTTTTTCTTATTCAGAGTCTGCTGTAGATATACGCAAGTACAAACCTTTCAGTGCAAATTTCCCAAAGAGCTTCTGTGTCCTTAACATGACCAAACATTTTTCATTTATAAGTGAGCATTAACTTGTTGGAAAGGCACCTGGCTGGAAATCAGATGGATTATTTAATCCTGTCAATCACTAGCTGTGTGGATTTGTGTTCATCACTTAACCCTTCTAAGCTGAAGTTCCAACTTTTGAAATAAGTTCAATATCTGTCCTTTCTACCTCCTGAAATTCTTTTCAGGAACAAATGATATGATATTTGCTGATAATTTGGTGATAATTAAATGCTTATGTAGCATACACACACACACACACACACACACTTTTCCATTAAATGAGGAACAGACCATTTAAGAGAGAAATATAAAAGTATGAATAAATAATTATCTAAAGGACTAGTGTTGATTAAAACAGGCATTTAAGGAATCCACTACAGAAAGTTCAGAACTTGTAGACTTTAGTCATTAGAATATTAAAAAGCACTTTTTGTCATTCAGAGATAACCAAAAACCAGTGTGTATTTCTATGCCATTCCTATGCTCTCCCACCAAGTGTAACAGGAACTGTCCTGTGAAAATAGTCAGAGAGTTAGTAATAGACTCGCTTCAATTTCCTCTGATCAATGGTAGTCAAAATCTGACAATGGAAATTGTTTCTTGTATAATATTGGACTCTGTGCTAGGAAATGTAAATCTTAATAAGTCTTAAAAACAGAATCCAGTATCTAGTAGTCTAGGCAAGTGCAGTGAACCGTGAACTTAGAATGTAGTCATTGTAACTTCATTTCTTTCCTTGAGTGCTCACTCTAAAAGTTTACACAGGCAAATATAACTTAACATTTTTTATTAAGTGTTTTTACTGACTTCTGAAACATAACCTTTAATTCTGATGACTCCTCCTAAAATATATCCTTTTTTCATGTATTTTGGTTTTAATGTGTATGTTTTACATTTTTAAAAAATATATGATTCCTATTATGCAGTCAATGATTGTTTAGAATTACTCACATTTTCTTTGATTATCATCCCTTCTTGTTACTGACAGCTTCCATATGGGATATTTTCCTTCTGCCCAAAATAAACCTGAATTAAAGGAGAAACTTCTTTGTGTGTGAAGATCTTATTGTGGCAAGCCCTCTTTGGTTTTTGTTTTTAAAATATTACCTTACTTTTGAAGTATATGTTATTGGGAATAGAAATCTAGATGACAGTTATTTTTCTCTTAAGTCATTATAATGATTACTTCACAGTATTCTGTTTCCCATTGTTGTCAATGCAAAGCAGTTTTAAGTCTAATAGTAGATACAGTCCTTTGAAGGTAATCTATAGATAGATAGATGATAGATAGATAGATAGATAGATAGATAGATAGATAGATAATCTATCTATGTATATTCCTTTCTGGTTGCTTTTAAACTTTTCTCTTACTTTTTGTGATTTTCCAGATTAACTGAAAAGTGTCTAAGTATAGATTTTGTAGATTTTTCTTACATTTATCCTGCTTGGGGTAACTAAAATTTCTTAATCTATGGTTTGGTGTCTTTCATAAATTCTGAAAAATTCTCATTCACTATCTTTTCAATGTGTCTTCCCTATGATTCCTCTCCTCCCTTTCTGAAGCACCATTAATAATGTACGTTAGACCATTCCACTCTCTCCTCCTTATTGCCAACCTCTCTTTCACATTTCCATTCCACTGTCTCTGGGGTGTAGTCTGGATACTTCCTACAGATCTACACTACTCTAATTCTGTCTTCAAATGGGTTTCCTATGCTACTAAGTGCATCCTCTTTTCTAGAAGTTTTCTTTTTTTTTTTTTGAATTTTCTTAGATTTTTTATTCCCTTCTTTTATGCTTTCAAATATATTAAATATAATTCCAATATCTACAGTTTGGGTCAATTATTCTTTAGTCTTTTTTCTGCTTTTTTGTAACTCACAGGGTTTTATTTCCTTGAATAATCTGTGATTTTTTTTTTCTGTTACTTTATGTTTCTTGGATCTCTTTACCTCTAAGAATTTGTTGAGACCTGGTTTAAAGTTGGTTTCTTCAGAGAAGGCATGTATTTCCTTCTGCCAACTGCAGGCTCTACCAATCACAAATTCTAGTTTTAAAAGATATTAACTTTGGGCTGTTTTTTTAATCACCCAAGTAGTATGAATTGTGAGCTGCAAATCCAATGGAGAACTTGCAATTCTGCGTCCTCAGAGATATACATTTTCCCACTTTATTCAGTGCCAAGTTTGAAGATAGGTAATTTTGCTGTAAGTTTCCTGGAGTTTGACATTAAGAGGCCTTTTCTTGTTCACTTTTATACTGAGTGTGTAGCCACTTGAAGTCCTATATTTATACAAAAGAGTTTTGAACACTGATATTTCACACTAGGTAGGCTTACATCTTTGCTTCATTTCTTTTATGCCCAGCACGTCAGGAAAAATTAAACTCAAGTTCACACAGCTTTAGAAAACACTTCAAGGTGAAAACCAGCTTTCTGACTCTACATACTTTTCTAGGTTTTCACCTTCAGTACACATAATACATGGAACACAAATATATTAAACAGATAAGAGTAGCCTTTAACCAGCACAGTATACATCATTTTATAAATTCCCATTTATATCATATTTCCTGATTTTTAAATTCAGTAAATGAGAATGCATGTTAATACTTTAGCATCTTCTAACATGTTAATATTTGCTACATACTTGTGCATCACACATTCCTTTATATTATTGTTTTAACCACAGCTTTAAGTCTAAAAACTAAATTTTATTACAGCATTTGCAGAAATCCTTAAGCATCATTGTAAAATATATTTTGAAAATTATTGATATAATCAGTCAAGTTGTTATTCTGGATACTAGATAATCTGACTGTCCTTTCCAAACAATTACCTCTAAATTTCATTGTTGCTACTGGTGAAATAGTAACATTAATTGCAAGTAACATACTTTGTTCATATTCTGGCTTTGTGAGTTGGGCAATTAACCAGCATGTTCAATTAAAATCATTCTGTTTCACAGATAATGTTGCTTTCTTTTTTTGTGCCAGAATCAATTCTCAGTAAATTTGACAGAAATGTGTCCACGGTTTATTTCTTCCTAAAAGAAGTGCTGAAGTGAATAAGCTAGTTGTAAAGGATATGCTGGATAGTAGAGATATTTAGATGAGTGCTATTTAGAACAGGGGTCCCCAGTTCCTGGGCTGTGGACTGGTACCAGTCCATGGCCTGTTAGGAACTGGGCCACACAGCAGGAGGTGAGCACCGGCAAGTGAGCATTACCACCTGAGCTCCGCCTCCTTTCAGCCCCCAGCGGCAGCAGAGGAGCATGAACCCTATTGTGAACCCTATTGTGAACTGCTCATGCAAGAGGTGGATCTAGCTTGTGTGATCCTTATGAGACTCTAATGCCTGATGATCTGAGGTGGAACACTTCCATTCTCAAACCATCCTCCATCCCCCTCAACACCCCCCACCTACCACCCCCCATCCGTGAAAAAATTGTCTTCCACAAAACTGCTCCTTAGTGCCAAAAGGATTGGAGACCACTGGTCTAGAAGACCAAGTGATCTTGACCACCTCGGTGACTTGTTATTGGACTAGACAAAAAGGTGGAATTAAATTAGATCAATAAAGCTTTGGTAATAATGATCCCCTCACTAAAGAAAGAAACTGGCATTAAAAATGAGAACTCATTCCATAGGCCTTGGTTCCATCCTCAAAGTGGTCTAGTGACATTTATTGGAGTCACCTGTAGAATCCCACGTAGGCCCTCACAAAAAAATGATATGGAGTGTAAGATAGTCCAAATTTTCCCAATTAGAAGAGCCAGTTAAAAAAAAGTAACATGTGCCACATGAATTAAATAAAATAAACAAATATATACTTACAACATTTATTAATTTAAACAGAATATTTAACATTCTATTAGTTGGTGAGTATCACTTTTTCTACCTTGAAAATAATTTTATCCAAACATGCATCTATATCAATCCTCTTGTCATTACCAAATAAACTTTGAGATACCCAACACATTTTCCCGGAATGTATATCTTCATTTCCATCTAAGCTGTTAGAGATAAAGTCATTTGGGAAGTGGTATACGATTTCATCCCTGGAAATTCTATCTTAAGCCACGTTTGTCTTTTACATAACTTTAAGACTTTGTTATGAAAATTAGTCTAATGGGCTATTATTTATAATTTCCACAATGTTACTATGTGTAATGACATGGAATGTTTAGAATTATGATGCCTTCACCAGCATGGCACATGTATACATATGTAACTAACCTGCACAATGTGCACATGTACCCTAAAACTTAAAGTATAATAATAAAAAATAAATAAATAAATAAATAAAAAGAATTATGATGCCTTACATCCAGGAATAATTGCTGACTGTATGCCAATATTTTTGCTTCTATTTCTGTAGATTTTATCTGGTAATCTCTGAGAGCAAGCATTGATTGAGGTTATTTTTAGGATACCATATTTTCCTCCCATAGTACTTTACTTCTCAAAACATTTAAAACAGTGCCTATAATAAGAAACTTTATAAAGAATTAAATATAATACAAGCATTTTCTGAGTGTTGATGCCAAAAAACACTTATATTTGGATATATATAAGTAATTTACTTTACAATAAAAATTATTATGAATATATGTTCCCTGAAAATATATAAATTTGTATTTTTACATCTGGTCAAAACAGTGTTAAATACCTAAACTGACTATTTTTTTTTCCCTCTACCAAACTGAATTCTAAATAGCCTTTGGAATTCAGTTCTAGTTCTGCGCTCCTTCATAAATACTCCTTATTTCAGCCTATACTGATCTCTTTCTTCTGAAAATGTCTACACTATTTGTGATCTATGTTATGGTTTATAATTTAATAGTATTGTTCTATATCATTCTCCAATTCTTTCATGTTAGTTAACTCCTCTACTTCATTGATTTGAGTACATATACTTCTATTTTATTCTATACCCCACTTATCAGATTGTTAACCGTAGCATAATTACTCAAGTGATCATTGGTTGTAAACTATATTTAGTAACTTTCACAAACAAATATCTTCTGATTGAGTTTTGTACTGATAGGCAGTGCTCGGAAGAAAAGAGAGTGGTGCCTTTAAACGGTATGGAAGAGGGGAAAGGAAGTGTCCGTAGAGGAGGGGAGGGTCCCAGGCTAGTGCTCCACCCCAACAGACCTTGGTGAGGACAGGCATTTCGTGCCGAAATGTTGTATTTCCCAAGACCACCCTGGCTTGCCACACTGCCCCCCGTCCTGTGACTATGAAAACTCAAGAACCGGTCCGGCGCGATGGCTTTTGCCTGTAATCCCAGCACTTTGGGAGGCCAAGGCGGGCAGATCACGAGGTCAGGAGATGGAAACCATCCTGGCTAACATGTGAAACCCCCTCTCTACTAAAAATACAAAAATTAGCCGGACATGGTGGCGGGCACCTGTAGTCCCAGCTACTCGGGAGGCTGACGCAGGAGAATGGCGTGAACCTGGGAGGCTGAGCTTGCAGTGAGCTGAGATGGCACCATGGCACTCCAGCCTGGGCGACAGAGGGAGACTCCGTCTCAAAACAAACAAACAAACAAACAAAACCCTGAGACCCTAGCAAGGCAGCAGAGACAAAAGCGGCTGGATGTCGAAAGGAGCACATTGGGGAGGAATGCACAGAAAGGCACCGGCCGGCCGGCAGGCCACTGACCGACAGAATAAGGTGGAGTCTGGCTGGGACAGTTGAAGGAGCACTCGGGCCGCTGAGTGGCCCAACTCCTGGGGAAAACCATCTCCCTTCTGGGTCCCCAGAGAAGTCTGCTAGGTCCCTAGGCTGAGAGCTACTTCCACTCAATAAAACCTTGCACTCATTCTCCAAGCCCAGGTGTGGTCCGATTCTTCCAGTACACCAAGGCAAGAACCCTGGGATTCAGAAAGCCCTCTGTCCTTGCAACAGAGGGGTTTCTGAAAAGGTAGAGGGTCTAATTGAGCTGGTTAACACAAGCCTCCTATAGACGGCAAAACTAAAATAGAGCACCCTGTAACACATGCCCACTGGAACTACAGGAGCTGTAAACAGCCACCCGTAGCCGCTGTCATGGGGTTGGAGTCCCACTATGCTCCCCTAGAGGTTTGAACAGCAGGGCACTGAAGAAGCGAGCCACTCCCCCTGTCACACGCCCTGCGGGGCAACAAGGGAACCTTTCCCATTTCAAAGCCATCCTCAAGTGACTGTACAGATTAATTAAGGCCATCTGGATCTATTCTATAGAAAATCAGATGAGGCTAGAATAAAGTAAACAGAAAACACTCAGACATGAATAAACTCTTGTATTTCAACCATCATAAAAATGGTAGAACAAAGTATCAATGAGTGTCTGATCTTTAACATCGAACGAGAAATCACAACACTCTCCCTTCTTCTTATTAAATTAAGGAGGGCAGGAAGGCTTTGTTGCTTGAAGTGCAAAGTTATCAAGTGTCAATTCTTTTCTTCTTTTTTCCCGGAACAAACAATTGTTTAATATTTTTTTCTCCATGCATTTTAATTGTTGACACAATAATGGATGATTGCAAATATATATTTGATGGCAACAATAATGTTACTAACAGTTCTTTTTTATAACTGCAAGACTAGAAATTACTTTTGCATTTAAATAAGATCCCTAAAGTGTTTGAAATAGTCAGCAGTCTGTACGCATAGGAATCACAGAAATATTTCAGATTATTTCAAAATGGCAGATCATTCCATAATTTTTTTTCCTTCCCAAAGAGGGATAGGCCATAAAGTCTGAGTAATGTCATTGAATCACAGTTAAATCTCTTTCAGCCAAGAAGAAAGGTAACTTCTTATTGAGCCATACTATAAACTGCCTCTTAGCAGTATACAAATTCAGCATCTAACAGATCAGGGAAATGCTTGTTTAGAATGATTATATATAATATGGCTTGTCTGTTGCTGCCATATACTTTGAAATATTGGTTTACAGGCTAACTCCTCATACAAATTCAGGAAGCTTGTTTCTCTGATGTTTTCATTATTATCACCTTTTTCTGCAGCCTCTGATAATAAGTCATAAGTAAATTAAAAATTTAAATACTTGCTTAATCCAGCTGAATTAAAGAACACATTGGGTTTTAACTCTTTATATTTTTATTTTTATATAGGCATAGTTTTGTTTATGTATGTTTGTGACTGTGTATAATTATTCTTTTATGGAGAAAATATGATTATCTTTTATAACTTCAAAGGGTTTTTTTAGGGGATAAAATTTCATGAGATGAATCCAAAGCAATATTCATAAGACCTGCATTTAACCACTAAATATCAGCTCAGATCTACATTATGTATTTATTAAAGTCAACATCAAGTTGTATCACGTAACCATTTAATAAATGTGTATGCCTTCCTATAATTTAGCATGTAATGAAAACTTTATTATAACTGAATGACCTAATTGCCACAAATTTCCTATAAGTTCATATTAGGATCACAATTATTTTTATAATATTTATACGCATTTAATTCTAATACTGTAAGCATGTCACATTTATAGTTTATAGTCAGCAAAAATTGGTTTTGTCTTTTCTTTTAATACATTATCCATATCTTTAATAAAATACCAAAATTTAATTCATCAGCAATAATTTCTAAATTGTCAACTCATCACCATAACATCTGTAGTAATGTTTTGTGGGATTTTTGCCGAGACCAGCTCAGTCGGGGAGACCCTAACCCAGCAGCGCTAGAGGAAATAAAGACACACACAGAAATATAGAGGTGCGAAGTGGGAAATCTGGGGTCTCACAGCCTTCAGAGCTGAAAGCCCTGAACAGAGATTTACCCACGTATTTATTAACAGCAAACCAGTCATTAGCATTGTTTCTACAGATATTAAATTAACTAAAAGTGTGCCTTATGGGAAATGAAGGGATGGGCTGAATTAAAGGAATAGGTTGGGCTAGTTAACTGCAGCAAGAGCATGTCCTTAAGGCACAGATCACTCATGCTATTGTTTGTGGCTTAAGAACGCCTTTAAGTGGTTTTCCGCCCTGGGCAGGCCAGGTGTTCCTTGCCCTCATTCCCATAAACCCACAACCTTCCAGCGTGGGCGTTAGGGCCATTACGAACATGTTACAGTGCTTTTGTTACATGTTACATGTTACAGAGATTTTGTTTATGGCCAGTTTTGGGGCCAGTTTATGGCCAGATTTTGGGGGGCCTGCTCCCAACATGTCCCACTTCTTTGATTTGCAAATCGATAAACGCAAAGGCAGCTTTGTCAGGGTGGGCTACTTCTTGCAGGAGTCAGGATCCACATCTGCAGACTATACAAAGACAAACAACACAGATTAAAAGCACAATCATCATTAAAATCACATAGCTTCCAAGTGTTTTTATCCATTTTAATGGGTTACTAGCTGTTAATTTGTCTGTAACTCCTTCAAGCACTCCAGTTCCTGGCATTAAGGTCAGGTATGCCTGGGGTACTTTAAATATTTGTTCTTTTAATTTTAAATCGTTATGTTAAGCTCCTAGAGTGGGCCATATCATTTGAGGTGAGGTGCCACTATACCACCATGGGTCCAGATAATAGGAACTTTTGCCGTACTTCTTATCATTTCTACCATCTGACCATTTTGTTCAGATCATCTGAACATAGTGTGGCTGTGGCACGCAGACTGAGAGGTGCAATTCAAGCTAAAAATCCACTTAGAGGACCAATTAATAATGATTCCATAGGAATCATTGTGCAGCACCACTGCCTGTTCTGCAATGCAATCTTCCTAAACAAGTTGGTTCATTTTTTTCTAACTGAGTCCAATCCTGTTTACAAATAGGTTTCTGAGGGCGGTGTGCCTCAATTATATGAGCAGAATTATTATGGTAAATACTGAGATCAGAAAGCATGTGTAACTGTGTCATAGAGTGATTGCATCCAGGCATTATTGTCAGCCAAGTTTCATAAATATACCCAATAAGTATAATTGTTCTCTGTGTCAGCCCATATTGAAGGAATACTCACGGCAGTGGTGATAACCACTATCATAGCTACCATTAAATTACTCGTTGTGACTGGTTGTCCCACTTTCCTCAGGTTTTCTTCCACCATCTGTGACAGCTTCTTGATCTGTCCCCAGATGGGTGGCTGTGTTCGACGGGTGTTGCTCTTGACAGTTGGGGTCCTCCTCAGTGTCAGTCTCGACATGGCTGCAACCAGGGGGTCCTTGGGATCCTCCCAGAGTCCCTTCCTTGGCATCTGGTTCATGATAAGGTTTCAGGTGTCTTGATGGCATCCAAATCAGCTGATGATTTTGGCCTGGAGAAATACAAGCATAACCTCTACCCCAAGTTATTATTTTACCTGTTTCCCAACTTTTTGTTATTGGATCTCTCCACCAAACCAATTGTTCTGCTTCTGTCTTTGCAGCTGGTTTCTGCAGATGCTGTTCAGCTGCTGATAACATCTGGCCTTTGGGCAGGCTCAAAAAATTTAAAGTTAATAATGCTAGATTCAGTTGTATCTGTGGTGTTCCATATTCTCTGTCACCCCTTTCTGCTTTTGCAACTGCTGTTTTAGGGAGAGATTCATTCTTTCTACTATGGCTTGTCCTTGAGAATTGTATGGGATACCAGTAATGTGTTTAATATTCCACATAGGGAAAAATGTAGTTAGAGCTTGGCTAGTATAACCTGGGGCATTATCTGTTTTAATAGAAGCTGGAATGCCCATCACCACAAAACACTGCAAAAGGTGATGTTTAACACAGGCAGAAGACTCTCCTGATTGGCGTGTAGCCCAGACAAAGTGAGAAAAAGTGTCCACCCATACATGTACATAAGCTAGTCTCCCATATGAGGGAACATGTGTGACATCCATTTGCCAAAGAGAGTTAGGTTCCAGTCCTTTAGGATTAACTCTTCCTGTAAAAGATGAGGAATGTACCATTTGGCAAGTTGGGCATTGCTGGATAATAGCTTTAGCTTCTTTCCAGGTAATGCTGTATCTGCCTTTGAGACCAGAGGCATTAACATGGGTTAAATTGTGAAAGTGTCTAGCATTAGATATTGCATTAGCAACTAGGTGATCAGCCATTTGATTCCCTTCAGTCAAAGGTCCTGGAAGAGGTGTATGAGCCCTAAAGTGAGTGATGTAAAAAGGATGCATTCTACTCCTAACTGCTCTTTACAATTGGGTAAATAAAGTCATCAGTTGTTCATCTGTATGCAATTGTAACTGAACACTTTCAATTACTTGTGTGGAATGAACCACGTATGAAGAATCAGAAATCACATTAATAGGTATATCAAAAGCAATTAATACCTCAATTACAGCTACCAGCTCCGCTTTTTGAGCTGAAGTATAGGATGTCTGGAAAACTTTACTTTTTGAGCCAAAATAAGAGTACTTACCATTACTAGACCCATCTATAAAACAATGAAAATGCTTAGCAGACTGCAGGTTGTTTACTGCAGAAATTGTAAATGCAAACTGTTCACAGTCTTGCTCAGCTAAGAGGGTAGTAAAGAAATAGTCTTTTAAATCTGTGATTATTAAAGGCCAATTTTTTGGAATTATAGCAGGAGAAGGTACAATCCTGGCTGTAATGCTCCCATAGGTTGTATAACTGAATTAATGGCTCTTAAGTCAGTTAACATTCTCCATTTACCTGATTTTTTCTTAATTACGAAAACTGGAGAATTCCAAGGGGAAAATGTTGGAGCTACGTGCCCATTTTCTAATTGTTCAGTAGCTAATGTCTCTAAAGCCTCCAGTTTCTCTTTACTTAGCAGCCATTGTTCTATCCAAATTGGCTTATCTGTTAACCATTTTAAAGCTATAGGTTCTGGAGGCTTAACAATGGCCGCCATCAAAAATTATTTCCTAATCTTTGGCGAGAACTTTGTGTTTCCGCTTGAAGCGGTTCTTTTTTTTTTTTTTTTTCTTCAGGTACTCATCACCCAGCAGTTTTTAATCTGAAAATGTTGCCATATTTGCTTTAAGTTTTTTTTTCTTTTTTTTATTATTATACTTTAAGTTTTAGTGTACATGTGCACAATGCGCAGGTTAGTTACATATGTATACACGTGCCATGCTGGTGTGCTGCACCCATCAACTCATCATTTAGCATTAGGTATATATCCTAATGCTAACCCTCCCCCCTTCCCCAACCCCACAACAGTCCCCAGTGTGTGATGTTCCCCTTCCTGTGTCCATGTGTTCTCATTGTTCAATTCCCATCTATGAGTGAGAACATGCGGTGTTTTGTTTTTTGTCCTTCTGATAGTTTACTGAGAATGATGATTTGCAATTTCATCCATGTCCCTACAAAGGACATGAACTCATCCTTTTTTATGGCTGCATAGTATTCCATGGTGTATATGTGCCACATTTTCTTAATCCAGTCTATCATTGTTGGACATTTGGGTTGGTTCCAAGTCTTTGCTATTGTGAATAGTGCCACAATAAACATACGTGTGCATGTGTCCTTATAGCAGCATGATTTATAATCCTTTGGGTGTATACCCAGTAATGGGATGGCTGGGTCAAATGGTATTTCTAGTTCCAGATCCCGGAGGAATCGCCACACTGACTTCCACAATGGTTGAACTAGTTTACAGTCCCACCAACAGTGTAAAAGTGTTCCTATTTCTCCACATCCTCCCAAGCACCTGTTGTTTCCTGACTTTTTAATGATTGCCATTCTAACTGGTGTGAGATGGTATCTCATTGTGGTTTTGATTTGCATTTCTCTGATGGCCAGTAATGATGAGCATTTTTTCATGTGTCTGTTGGCTGCATAAATGTCTTCTTTTGAGAAGTGTCTGTTCATGTCCTTTGCCCACTTTTTGATGGGGTTGTTTGTTTTTTTCTTATAAATTTGTTTGAGTTCATTGTAGATTCTGGATATTAGCCCTTTGTCAGATGAGTAGGTTGGGAAAGTTTTCTCCCATTTTGTAGGTTGCCTGTTCACTCTGATGGTAGTTTCTTTTGCTGTGCAGAAGCTATTTAGTTTAATTAGATCCCATTTGTCAATTTTGGCTTTCATTGCCATTGCTTTTGGTGTTTTAGACATGAAGTCCTTGTCCATGCCTATGTCCTGAATGGTAATGCCTAGGTTTTCTTCTAGGGTTTTTATGGTTTTAGGTCTAATGTTTAAGTCTTTAATCCATCTTGAATTAATTTTTGTATAAGGTGTAAGGAAGGGATCCAGTTTCAGCTTTCTACATATGGCTAGCCAGTTTTCCCAGCACCATTTATTAAATAGGGAATCCTTTCCCCATTGCTTGTTTTTGTCAGGTTTGTCAAAGATGAGATAGTTATACATATGCGGCATTATTTCTGAGGGCTTCCTTCTGTTCCATTGATCTATATCTCTGTTTTGGTACTAGTACCATGCTGTTTTGGTGACTGTAGCCTTGTAGTATAGTTTGAAGTCAGGTAGTGTGATGCCTCCAGCTTTGTTCTTTTGGCTTAGGATTGACTTGGTGATGCGGGCTCTTTTTTGGTTCCATATGAACTTTAAAGTAGTTTTTTGCAATTCTGTGAAGACAGTCATTGGTAGCTTGATAGGGATGGCATTGAATCTATAAATTACCTTGGGCAGTATGGCCAGTTTCACCATATTGATTCTTCCTACCCATGAGCATGGAATGTTCTTCCATTTGTTTGTATCCTCTTTTATTTCCTTGAGCAGTGGTTTGTAGTTCTCCTTGAAGAGGTCCTTCACGTCCCTTGTAACTTGGATTCTTAAGTATTTTATTCTCTTTGAAGCAATTGTGAATGGGAGTTCTCTCATGATTTGGCTCTCTGTTTGTCTGTTATTGGTGTATAAGAATGCTTGTGATTTTTGTACATTGATTTTGTATCCTGAGACTTTGCTGAAGTTGCTTATCAGCTTAAGGAGGTTTGGGGCTGAGATAATGGGGTTTTCTAGATATACAATCATGTCATCTGCAAACAGGGACAATTTGACTTCCTCTTTTCCTAACTGAATACCCTTTATTTCCTTCTCCTGCCTAATTGCCCTGGCCAGAACTTCCAACACTATGTTGAATAGGAGTGGTGAGAGAGGGCATCTCTGTCTTGTGCCCGTTTTCAAAGGGAATGCTTCCAGTTTTTGCCCATTCAGTATGATATTGGCTGTGGGTTTGTCATAGATAGCTCTTATTATTTTGAGATACGTCCCATCAATACCTAATTTATTGAGAGTTTTTAGCATGAAGCGTTCTTGAATTTTCTCAAAGGCCTTTTCTGCATCTATTGAGATAATCACGTGGTTTTTGTCTTTGTTTCTGTTTATATGCTGGATTACATTTATTGATTTTCATATATTGAACCAGCCTTGCATCCCAGGGATGAAGCCCACTTGATCATGGTGGATAAGCTTTTTGATATGCTGCTGGATTCGATTTGCCAGTATTTTATTGAGGATTTTTGCATCAATGTTCATCAAGGATATTCATCTAAAATACTCTTTTTTGGTTGTATCTCTGCCCGGCTTTGGTATCAGGATGATGCTGGCCTCATAAAATGAGTTAGGGAGGATTCCCTCTTTTTCTATTGATTGGAATAGTTTCAGAAGGAATGGTACCAGTTCCTCCTTGTACCTCTGGTAGAATTCGGCTGTGAATCCATCTGGTCCTGGACTCTTTTTGGTTGGTAAGCTATTGATTATTGCCACAATTTCAGAGCCTGTTATTGGCCTATTCAGAGAGTCAACTTCTTCCTGGTTTAGTCTTGGGAGAGTGTATGTGTCAAGGAATTTATTCGTTTCTTCTAGATTTTCTAGTTTATTTGCGTAGAGGTGTTTGTAGTATTCTCTGATGGCAGTTTGTATTTCTGTGGGATCAGTGGTGATATCCCCTTTATCATTTTTATTGCATCTATTTGATTTTTCTCTCTTTTCTTCTTTATTTGTCTTGCTAGTGGTCTATCAGTTTTGTTGATCCTTTCAAAAAACCACCTCCTGGATTCATTAATTTTTTGAAGGGTGTTTTTGTGTCTCTATTTCTTTCAGTTCTGTTCTGATTTTATTTGTTTCTTGCCTTCTGCTAGCTTTCCATGTAGTTGAGTGGTTTTGAGTGAGTTTCTTAATCCTGAGTTCTAGTTTGATTGCACTGTGGTCTGAGAGACAGTTTGTTATAATTTGTATTCTTTTACATTTGTTGAGGAGAGCTTTACTTCCAACTATGTGGTCAATTTTGGAATAGGTGTGGTGTGGTGTTGAAAAAAATGTATATTCTGTTGATTTGGGGTGGAGAGTTCTGTAGATGTTTATTAGGTCCGCTTGGTGCAGAGCTGAGTTCAGTTCCTGGGTATCCTTGTTAACTTTCTGTCTCGTTGATCTGTCTAATGTTGACAGTGGGGTGTTAAAGTCTCCCATTATTATTGTGTGGGAGTCTAAGTCTCTTTGTAGGTCACTAAGGACTTGCGTTATGAATCTGGGTGCTCCTGTATTGGGTGCATATATATTTAGGATAGTTAGCTCTTCTTGTTGAATTGATCCCTTTACCATTATGTAATGTCCTTCTTTGTCTCTTTTGATCTTTGTTGGTTTAAAGTCTCTTTTATCAGAGACTAGGATTGCAACCCCTGCCTTTTTTTGTTTTCCATTTGCTTGGTAGCTCTTCCTGCATCCTTTTATTTTGAGCCTATATGTGTCTCTGCACATGAGATGGGTTTCCTGAATACAGCACACTGATGGGTGTTGACTCTTTATCCAATTTGCCGGTGTGTGTCTTTTAATTGCAGCATTTAGTCCGTTTACATTTAAAGTTAATATTGTTATATGTGAATTTGATCCTGTCATTATGATGTTAGCTAGTTATTTTGCTCGTTAGTTGATGCAGTTTCTTCCTAGTCTCAATGGTCTTTACCTTTTGGCATGATTTTGCAGCGGCTGGTACCGGTTGTTCCTTTCCATGTTTAGCACTTCCTTCAGGAGCTCCTTTAGGGCAGGCCTGGTGGTGACAAAATCTCTCAGCATTTGCTTGTCTGTAAAATATTTTATTTCTCCTTCACTTATGAAGCTTAGTTTGGCTGGAAATGAAATTCTGGGTTGAAAATTCTTTTCCTTAAGAATGTTGAATATTGGACCCCACTCTCTTCTGGCTTGTAGAATTTCTGCTGAGAGATCTGCTGTTAGTCTGATGGGCTTCCCTTTGTGGGTAACCAGACCTTTCTCTCTGGCTGCCCTTAACATTTTTTCCTTCATTTCAACCTTGGTGAATCTGATAATTATGTGTCTTGGAGTTGCTCTTCTCAAGGAGTATCTTTGTGGCATTCTCTGTATTTCCTGAATCTGAATGTTGGCCTGCCTTGCTAGATTGGGGAAGTTCTCCTGGATAATATCCTGCATAGTGTTTTCCAACTTGGTTCCATTCTCCCCGTCACTTTCAGGTACACCAATCAGATGTAGATTTGGTCTTTTCACATAGTCCCATATTTCTTGGAGTGTTTGTTCATTTCTTTTTATTCTTTTATCTCTAAACTTCCCTTCTCGCTTCATTTCATTCATTTCATCTTCCATCACTGATAACCTTTCTTCCAGTTGATCGCATCGGCTCCTGAGGCTTCTGCATTCTTCACGTAGTTCTCGAGCCTTGGCTTTCAGCTCCATCAGCTCCTTTAAGCACTTCTCTGTGTTGGTTATTCTAGTTATACATTCTTCTAAATTTTTTTCAAAGTTTTCAACTTCTTTTCCTTTGGTTTGAATTTCCTCCTGTAGCTCAGAGTAATTTGATCATCTGAAGCCTTCTTCTCTCAACTCGTCAAAATCATTCTCCATCCAGCTTTGTTCCGTTGCTGGTGAGGAACTGCGTTCCTTTGGAGGAGGAGAGGTGCTCTGCTTTTTAGAGTTTCCAGTTTTTCTGTTGTTTTTTCCCCATCTTTGTGGTTTTATCTACTTTTGGTCTTTGATTATGGTGATGTACAGATGGGTTTTTGGTGTGAATGTCCTTTCTGTTTGTTAGTTTTCCTTCTAACAGACAGGACCCTCAGCTGCAGGTCTGTTGGAGTTTGCTAGGGGTCCACTCCAGATGCTGTTTTCCTGGGTATCAGCAGCGGTGTCTGCAGAACCGTGGATTTTCATGATCTGTGAATGCTGCTGTCTGATCGTTCCTCTGGAAGTTTTGTCTCAGAGAAGTACCCGGCCATGTGAGGTGTCAGTCTGCCCCTACTGTGGGGTGCCTCCCAGTTAGGCTGCTCGGGGGTCAGGCGTCAGGGACCCACTTGAGGAGGCAGTCTGCCCATTCTCAGATCTCCAGTTGCATGCTGGGAGAACCACTTTCAAAGCTTGCAAATTTTTTTCTAGTCCCATACCAGGGACATACCCTATTTCATGCATTGTATGTTGACTTTGAGGGCTATATAATTGTTCTGGAATTAGAACTTGTGCTCCCCACTGTTGTAATAAATCTCTTCCCCATAAATTTATAGGTAGAGAAGTTATAATTGGTTGAATAGCCCCAGGTTGTCTATCGGGCCCTTCACAATGTAAAATATAACTACTTTGATATACTTCAGCAGCTTTCCCAACTCCAACTATGTTAAATTGAGTGGGTTGAATTGGCCATGTGGACCACCAGTGCTGTAGAGAAATGATTGAAATATCCGCTCCTGTATCTACCAAACCTTTAAATTTCTTTCCCCGAATAGTTATTTCACAGGTAGGATGTTTATCAGTAATTTGTTTTACCCAATAAGCTGCTTTGCCTTGTTTATTTGTGCTTCCAAATCCTCCTGTTCATTTAATTTCACTTTTTCCTATTCCCACATATAGCACAATCAGGAGCTGTGCTATGCACTCTCCTGGCTCTGCTTTCCAGGGAACAGAAGTAGATATAACAGTTTGAATTTCCCCATTATAATCTGAAACAATGACTCCTGTATGTATTTGTGCCCCTTTTAAACCTAAACTATGAACAGACACTTCTCAAAAGAAGACATTTATGCAGCCAAAAAACACATGAAAAAATGCTCATCATCACTGGCCATCAGAGAAATGCAAATCAAAACCACAATGAGATACCGTCTCACACCAGTTAGAATGGCAATCATTAAAAAGTCAGGAAACAACAGGTGCTTGGGAGGATGTGGAGAAATAGGAACACTTTTACACTGTTGGTGGGACTGTAAACTGGTTCAACCATTGTGGAAGTCAGTGTGGCAATTCCTCCGGGATCTGGAACTAGAAATACCATTTGACTCAGCCAACCCATTACTGGGTATATACCCAAAGGATTATAAATCATGCTGCTATAAAGACACATGCACACATATGTTTATTGTGGTGCTGTTCACAATGGCAAAGACTTGGAACCAACCCAAATGTTCATCAATGATAGACTGGATTAAGAAAATGTGGCACATATACACCATGGAATACTATGCAGCCATAAAAAATGATGAGTTCATGTCCTTGGTAGGGACATGGATGAAGCTGGAAAACCATCATTCTCAGCAAACTATCACAAGGACAAAAAACCAAACACCGCATGTTCTCACTCATAGGTGTGAATTGAACAGTGAGAACACATGGACACAGGAGGGGGAACATCACACACCAGGGACTGTTGTGGGGTGGGGGGAGTGGGGAGGGATAGCTTTAGGAGATATACCTAATACTAAATGATGAGTTGATGGGTGCAGCACACCAACTTGGCACATGTATACATATGTAACAAACCTGCACATTGTGCACATGTACCCTAAAACTTAAAGCAGAATAATAATAAAATTTTTTAAAATGTCAAAAAAAAAAAAAACCTAAACTAGACCTTCCTAAAAGTAATCCTATTGTCCCTGCTAGCAAGGGTCCACAGACTCCTGTTGGGACCTTTTGCAGGGTGTTCCCCAGGCAGAAGGCTCACAGCTCTTGTGCAGCATTAATCTACTACAGCTCTACCAGCTGTGGCAGGGGACAGACATTGTACTGGGTTGAGGGAATGGCCTGAGCTGGAAATGCCCCAGTTTAGAATGCAGCCTGGGACGGGCCCCTCATGGCATTTCCTGAAATCAGGTTCCCTTCTTTATCAGAGTGACACTGATTACCCCAATGTTTTCCTTGTTTACATTTTGGACATATTTCAGGATCAGCAGTTTTCTTTTTTCCCCTATCTGGTGGCCTGACTCACTGACTTTTTTCTATATTCTTTTTTAGTATGACCATGCTTCCCACAGTTAAAACAAACTCCAGGAAATGGAGTATTTCCTTTATCCACTCTCAGTCCCGCTGTTGCCTGTGCCAACAAAGCAGCTTTATGCAGATTACCTCCGATACCGTCACAGGCCTTGATATAATCAGCTAAATGTGCTTTCCCTCTGATAGGTCACTGAGAAGCCTGGCAATCTCGATTAGCATTATTGAAAGCTAATAACTGCAGCCCTATATACTGGGCAGCTGAATCTGTAATCATCTTTTTAAGAGACTACTGTAACAGAGCTATAAAATCAACATATGGTTCTCTTAGTCCCTGTTTTATAGCACTAAAGGAAAGGTACTGTTCCCCATCTGAAGCAATTTTTTCCCAAGCTCTAATGCACACTCCTCTAAGCTGTTCTATGACATCATCCTGCATGACAAGTTGTGCATCTAAACCAGCCCAGGTGCTAACCCCAAAAGTTGGTCTGCAGTTATATTAATTTGAGGTTGGGCATGGGCATTCTGAGCAGCCTGAATGGAAGCTTCATCTGCCCACCAAGTTTTAAATTGTAAGAACTGAGCAGGAGTTAGACAAGCTCGAGTAAGAGCATCCCAGTCAGCAGGAATCATCTGATTGGAAACAGCAACATTCTTTAACAGTCCCATTACAAAAGGAGAACCTGGTCCATACTGATTTATAGCTTGTTTAAATTCTTTGAGTAATTTAAAAGGAAAAGGCTCAAATGTAGCTATAATATTTCGCTGTTGATCTAGGGAAATATTATATATATATTATCCTGTATTCTAACAGGAAACTGCCAAGCCTCTAATCACCCTCTTGTCTAGCTTGCTGAATTCCTGCCTGAATAGAACTAAGAGTGGTAGCTTGAGGCACTGCTCAAACAGTCACTGGGGCAACTACTTTTTGCCTAGTGTCCTCCAGAAAAGAAAGATCTGGAGCGTCTTTTTCTTCAAAATAATAACGAGGGGGTGCAGAAGGGTAGGGATGAACCTCTCCTTCCTTTGCCGCTTTAGCTTTAGCTGGTAAATAAACATGCTCTGTAACCTCTTCTGCTACTTTGTTATACTCTCCTTCCTCCTCCTCATCAGTGTGAAAAAGTTCCAAGGTGGAATGAACCACACCCCACACTTGTCTCATTGTTACCCTGATGCTTCTGAACTCCCCTTCTTACTCACCATGGGGATTGCTTTAAGAGTACTCAGGTGTCCTCCAGCTAGTTTTCCATTCCAACCATCACTCCGGCGACACTTCAACCTGGATTCGACCCCCCGATGAACGCCACTTGCCGAGACCAGCTCAGTCGGGGAGACCCTAACCCAGCGGCGCTAGAGGAATTAAAGACACACACACAGAAATATAGAGGTGCGAAGTGGGAAATCTGGGGTCTCACAGTCTTCAGAGCTGAAAGCCCTGAAGAGAGATTTACCCACGTATTTATTAACAGCAAACCAGTCATTAGCATTGTTTCTATAGATATTAAATTAACTAAAATATCCCTTATGGGAAACGAAGGGATGGGCCGAATTAAAGGAATAGGTTGGGCTAGTTAACTGAAGCAGGAGCATGTCCTTAAGGCACAGATCACTCATGCTATTGTTTGTGGCTTAAGAATGCCTTTAAGTGGTTTTCTGCCCTGGGCAGGCCAGGTGTTCCTTGCCCTCATTCCCGTAAACCCACAACCTTCCAGCGTGGGCATTAGGGCCCTTATGAACATGTTACAGTGCTGCAGAGATTTTGTTTATGGCCAGTTTTGGGGCCAGTTTATGGCCAGATTTTGGGGGGCCTGCTCCCAACAGATTTTATTGTTTATCTTTTATCTTAAGACTTGGCTAAAAAGAATAGTACCCCTTTACTTTTGGTAGTTAAAATTTTACTTCCATACTGCAATGACTAAATCTCTATTGTAAGGCTTCGAGGCAAGATGACCACCCACTCCAAGCATGTGGAGGAAGGACTCAGATGCTGGGGTGAAGGGGGAGTAAGCTGGGAACCCTACATAAGGTTACTGTACACTGGGACTCATTCCTGATCCCCAACAATGCCTGGGGTAGAGATGACTTGAACAAGTGATGAATGACCCACTCTCACTACAGGCCTCTGGAATCCTGGCAGCAGGAAACCCCACGAACCCCATGGACATTTGAGCTGACAGGGAGAAGCACATCAAAAAGCCAATCCACCACAATCAAATGGGCTTTATTCTTGGGATGCAAAGTTGATTCATCATACACAAATCAATGAATGTGATTCACCACTTAAACAGAACTAAAAACAGAAACCACATGATCATCTCAATAGATGCAGAAAAAGCTTTTGATAAAATTCGACATCCCTTCATGGTTAAAATCCTCAACAAACTAGGCACTGAAGAAACATACCTCAAAATAATAAGTCATCTATGACAAATCCATAGCCAACATCATACTGAATGGGCAAAAGCTGGAAGCATTCTCCTTGAAAAACGGAATAAAACAAGGATGGCCTCTCTCACCGCTCCTAGTCAACACAGTACTGAAAGTCCTAGCCAGAGCAATCAGGTAAGAAAAAGAAATAAAAGGCATCCAAATGAGAAGAGAGAAAGCCAAACTATTCCTGTTTCATAAAATATGATTCTACATGTAGAAAACTCCATAGTCATTCTTAGCAAATTGATAAGAGTTAGTATAATATTGGTTTCAGGCATGTATTCCATGTTTCTTCTTAATTATTTTGAGGTACTTTGCTTTTCATACCTTTAATAGCACTTCTTTATTGAAATATAAATTATTTCTAATCAAGTTATCAGTCAAAAGAACAAACAACGTGATTTTTCCCTCTCTCTAGAATCAGTTATCTAACAGCCTATCAACATGGGGAAAAAACTATGTATAGGCCCAAGTCTCAGTGCTGTCCAGGATTCTATGAAAGCAAGAAAATGTGTGTACATGTGTAAGACTTTCACCCATTTGGGGTTTGCTTGTTTTTCCCAGTGCTGGTTTCCTTCTGTTAATGGCAGTTGAGATGGAGTTTTGGGGATATGGGCTTCTTGGAACATTTCCTTTTACTCCGGCTGCTATTTCCCTGGCTTTTGTAATGAGGGAAGCATTAGCTCTGTATCCCTGTTTCATCCGAAGTCTCCAAATGAATGTTGCTTGAAAAGAAAACAGTTGTTACAGAAGGATGATTCAAGGATGGATGTGGTGATGTTAATTGCAATTCTTCAGTAAATGTCCCATGGGGGAAAAGAAAAGAAAGAAAACCCCATAGTCTCTGCCTAAAAGCTCCTTGATCTGACAAACAGCTTCAGCAAAGTTTCAGGGTACAAAATCAGCATACGAAAATCAGTAGTATTCCTATATTCCAACAACATTCAAGCTGAGAGCCAAATTAAGGATGCATTCCCATTTACGATACCCCCCCCCAAAAAATAACATAAAATACCTATGAATGCGGCTAACCAGGGAGGTGAAAGATCTCTACAATGAGATTTACAAAACACTGTGCAAAGTAGTCAGAAATGACACCAAAACATGGAAGAATATTTCATGATTATGGGTAGGAAGACTCAATATTGTTTAGATAAACATACTGCCCAATTTACAGACTCAATGCTATTCCTATCAAACTATTAATGACATTCTTAAGAGAATTAGAGAAGTCTATTTTAAAATTCATATGGAACCAAAAAAGAGCCCAAATAGCCAAGGTAATCCTAAGCCAAAAGAACAAAGCTGGAGGCATTACATTACCCAACTTAAAACTATACTACAAGGCTACAGTAACAAAAACAGCATGGTACTGATATGAAACAGACACACAGACCAACGGAGCAGAACAGACAGGTCAGAAATAATGCTGCACTTCTACAACCATCTGATCCTTGACAAAGTCGACAAATACAAGCAATAAGGAAATGACTACCTATTCAATAAATCGTGCTGGGATAAATGGTTAACCATCAGAAGATTGAAACTGGACCCTTTCCTTACATAATATAAAAAAATCAACTCAAAATGGATTAAAGACTTAAATGTAAAACCTAAACCTATGAAAACCCTGGAAGATAACCTGGGAAATACCATTCTGAACAGAAGACCTGGAAAAGATTTCATGATGAAGATGCCAAAAGCAATTGCAACAAAACGAAATTTAACAAACGGAACCTAACTAAACTAAAGAGCTTCTGCACAGCAAAAGAAACTATCAACAGAGTAAACAGACAACCTACAGAATAAGAATATATTTACAAACTATTATTCGACTAAAGTCTAATATTTGGAATCTATAAGAATTTAAACAAATTAACAAGCAAAGAACAAACAACCTTACAAAAAAAAGTAGGCAAAGGACATGAACAGACATTTTTCAAAAGAAGACATACAAGCAGCCAGCAAGTATATGAAAAAATGCTCAACATCACTAATCATTAGAGAAATGCAAATCAAATGCATTTGAAATCCCTTCTTGCATCAGCTAGAATGGATATCATTAAAAAGCCAAAAATTAACAGATGCTGGTGAGGTTGTGGAGAAAGGAGAAGGCTTATACGTTGCTGGTGAAGATGTAAATTAGTTCAACCATTGTGGAAAGCAGTGTGGTGATTTCTCAAAAAACTTAAAACAGAAGTACCATTCAACCCAGAAATCCCATTATTGGGTATATATTCAAAGCAATATAAATTGTTCTACCATAAAGACACATGTACTCATATATTCATTGGAGCACTATTCACAATAGCAACATGAAATCAACCCAAATGCCCATCAATAGTAGAATGGATAAAGAAAATGTGGTACACGTACACCATGGAATATGATGCAGCCATAAAAAAGATTAGATCATGTCTTTTGTGCAATATGGCTGAAGTTGTAGGTTATTATTCTAAGTGAAATAACACAGGAACAGAAAAACAAATACCACATGTTCTCATTTAGAAATGAGAGGTAAACATTGAGTACATACAGACATGAAAAAGGGAACAGACACTAGAACCTGCTTGAGGGTAGAGGAAGGGAGAAGTGTGAGGATCAAAAAACTACCTATTGAATACTATGCTTATTACCTGGGTAACAAAATAATCTATATGCCAAACCCCTGTGACGTGCAATTTACCTATGTAACAAACATGTACGGGTACCCCAAGCCTAAAGTAAAAGTTAAATAAATAAATAAATCTTTATTGTAAATTTTACCCCCTGCATCCAAAAATATTTTTCCTTTCTTGTCTTCACCCTAAAATCAGAGGTTTTGAGCTCGTGGCTGGTTGCTGACAGTGGACATAATCTGTTTTATCTTTTCTCCATCCCATGTTCTATTATATCATGATCAATTGTTTCACTCAGAAATTCAATGAATTTCAAGATAATCATGGTACTATTGTGACCTACGCAGGCTAAGGGCATTTCTAAAGGAAACAAAGAAATCATAAGGTTACTGTTGTTAAAATTTCATAAAATGAGTTTATTTCTGCACACATAATGAAAAATACTAATTTTTCTAGAGTTCTTATAAAATTATTTAGTGCAATTTAACTTACTAGAAATAAAAAATTATACCTAAAAATGATATAGACTATTATGTGCAAGAAATTTTACATATGAAAATCCAGTATTTGACACAGGCAAAGCATGTCAAACATTTTTTTCTACAAAATTTTACAGAAAATTTAATATTCTCAGGATAAACAATTCTTGCACAATTCCTTTTGATCATGCATTTCAAAATATTGAACAAATGAGAACTCTGATCAGTAGTGCATAAAAGTGAAGGAATTAAGGAAAGTGTTACAAAAGTGACTCTATGTAGTAAGGTCTAAAGAATATAAATTATTGCATAAGTTTTATGAACAACTTTTAAAAGCCATATTTAAGCATTTAAATTACATTTCTTATTTAGTTCCTCTTATGAGTTTTAATTTAGTGCCATGATGTTCACAATATCATTAAAGATTTTTCAGTATCTGAACACTGCCTTGTAGTGCACACTTATTTATGAATATAGATATGGAACATTTTCACAGATTAGTTAAACTTTCTCCTTTATATCTATCTTGCTTTTATAAAAATCAGAGTCAATACAAAGATGTTTCAGGTGATTAAAAAGTTTGTCAACACACAAAGTCGATAAAAATAAGCAATGGGAAAAGAATTCCCTATTCAGTAAATGCTGTGGGGATAACTGGTTGGTGGAAGAATGAAACTGGACCCCTAACTTTCACCAGGTACAAAAACTGGTAATGCAAGAAGGATTAAAGATTTAAATGTAAGATCTCAAACTATAAAAATCCTATAAGATAACCTAGGAAATACGATTTGGACTTCAGCCTTGGCAAAAAATTTATGCCTAAGTCCTCAAAAGCAATTTCAACAAAAACAAAAATTGACAAATGGGACCTAATTAAACAAAAAAGCTCTGTGCAGCAAAAAAAGAAACTATCAATAGAGTAAACAGACGACCTACAGAAAGGGAGAAAATATTTGCAAGCTATGCATCTGACAAAGGCATAATATCCAGAATCTATAAGGAACCTCAACAATTCAACAAACAAAAAACGAACTCCATTAAAAAGTGGGCAAAAGACATGAACAGACACTTCTAAAAAGAAGACATACAAGTGGCCAAAAAATGTATGAAAAATGCTCCACATCACTAATCACGTGAAAAATGAAAGTCAAAACCACAGTAAGATGCCCTTTCACAAAAGTCAGACTGGCTATTTTTTAAAAGTCGATAAACAACAGATGCTGGTGAGGCTTCAGAGAAAAGGAAGTGGTTATTCCCTGTTGGTGAGAATGTAAATTAGTTCAGCTACCGTGAAAGCAGTTTAGAGATTTCTCAAAGAACTTAAAGCAGAACTACTATTTGACTAAGCAATCCCATTACTGGGTACATATCCAAAAGAAAATGAATCGTTCTACCAAAATTAGACACATGCATTCATATGTTCATCACAGTACTATTCAGTATCACAATGACATGGAATCAACGTAGGTGCCCATCAATGGTCGATTGGATAAAGAAAATGTGGTACACATACACCATGGAATACTACGGAGTCATTAAAAAGAACAAAATTATGTCCTTTGCAGCAACATGGATGCAGCTGGAGGCCATTATCCTAAGTGAATAAATTCAGGAACAGAAAACCTGCTACCTCATGTTTTCACTTGTAAGTGGGAGCTAAACATTGGATACTCGTGGATATAAGGATGGTAATAATAGACACTGAGGTCCACTAGAGGGGGTAACGGAGGGAGGCAAATATTGAAAAACTACATATTGGGTGCTATGCTCCCTACCCAGGTGACAGAATCATTCATATCCCACACCTCGGCATCCTGCAATATACCCATGTAACAAACATACACATGTAACCCCTGAATTGAAAATGAAAGATGATATTATTTTTAAAAAGCATTTTGTATCAATTTAATATATAAAATTGAAATCAATAAAATATTTGTTTCAAAAAAGGTTGTTAATACAAAGAATGGTCAAGTTTAGCAGCATAAAATATGGAAAGGATATGGTCTTTGGAATCAGACAGAGATTCAAACCCAAGCTTCACCATTTTATAGCAGTGCTAATTTGGGAAAATTACCAACTCTGACTTCAGGCCACTCATCTCTGAAATGCTTATCATAGGATTGCTGAATTTAGACAGATAATAAATATATATATGAAAGTGCTGTGCTTAACACGTGGTGGAATTCCATGTAACTACTTCCCTACACTTTTGTCAGTATGTGTGTTGAGCAAATACCACAGCTCCATATCTGGTTAAATCTGATTATGTAGCTTATATCTGAATTGGGCAATGTCTACCCACAACTTATCAATCTATTGTTTTGACTGTCAGATTCAATCCAAATACCTGTTGACCTTTTGAGAAAAGTTGAGGAATGGATACACTGACGGTTAGTGGCTCCTCTTGTAATCCTGATATTATGGATTGAATTGCGTTTCCATCCAAAATTCATATGTCAAAATCCTAACCCCGGTATCTCAGAATGTAACTCGATTTGAATATAGGTTAAAGGAGTAATGAAGTTAAAATGAAGTCATTATAGTAGGCCCAAATTCAGTAGGACTGGTGTTTCCATAAGAAGAGAAAATTTGGACACAGACACATATAGAGGGAAGACAATGGTAAGATACAAAGAGAAAATGGTCATCTGTAAACGAAAGAGGGATGGGCCCTAAAAAAATCAACCCTGCTGAGAGTTTGATCTTGGACTTTGTAGGCTTCAGAATTGTGAGAAAATTAATTTCCATTTTTTAAACCACCCAGTCTCTCATACTTTGTTGTGGCAACCCTAGAAAAGTAATACATGTGGGTGGATCATTCCAAGATGGCCGAATAGGAACAGCTCTGGTCTGCAGCTCCCAGTGAGATCGAGGCAGAAGATGGGTAATTTCTGCATTTCCAACTGAGGTACCTGGTTCATCTCATTGGGACTGGTTGGAGAGTGGGTGCAGCCCACGGAGGGTGAGTCAAAGCAGGGCGGGGCCTCATCTTGCCTGGGAAGTGTAAGAAGTCAGGGGATTTCCC
Organism: Homo sapiens; assembly: GCF_000001405.40. Taxonomy (NCBI): domain Eukaryota; kingdom Metazoa; phylum Chordata; class Mammalia; order Primates; family Hominidae; genus Homo; species Homo sapiens. Next base: position 39,207,958 of record NC_000012.12, read on the forward strand.
TTTCCTAGCCAAGGGAAGCCATGACAGATGGTACCTGGAAAATCAGGATGCTCCTGCCCAAATACTGTGCTTTTCCAATGGTCTTAGCAAACAGCACACCAGGAAATTTTATCCTGTGCCTGGCTTGGCAGGTCCCATGCCCACAGAGCCTTGCTCACTGCTAATGTAGCAGTCTGAGATCAAACTGTGAGGTGGCAGCATGGGCTGTGGGAGCGGAGTCTGCCATTGCTGAGGCTTAAGTAGGTAAACAAAGCAGCAGTGAAGCTCAAACGGGGTGGAGCTCACTGCAGCTCAATGAGGCCTGCCTACCTCTGTAGATTCCACTTCTGGGGGCAGGGTATAGCTGAACAAAAGGCAGCAGAAACGTCTGCAGACTTAAACGTCCCTGTCTGACAGCTCTGAAGAGAGCAGTGGTCCTCCATGCATGGAGATTGAGCTCTGAGAACAGACAGACTGCCTCCTCAAGTGGGTCCCTGACCCCTGTGTAGCCTAACTGGGGGATACCTGCCACTAGGGGCCAACTGACACCTCATACAGCCAGTGCCCCTCTGAGACGAAGCTTCCAGAGGAAGGATTAGGCAGCAATATTTGCTGTTCTGCAGCCTCCACTGGTGATATCCAGGCAAAAAGGGTCTGGAGTGGACCTCCAGCAAACTCCAACAGACCTGCAGCTGAGGGTCCTGAGTGTTACAAGGAAAACTAACAAACAGAAAGGAATAGCATCAACATCAACAGAAAGGACATCCACACCAAAACCCCATCTGTAGGTAACCAACATCAAAGACCAAAGGTAGATAAAACCCACAAAGATGAGTAGAAACCAGAGCAGAAAAGCTGAAAATTCTAAAAACCAGAGCGCCTCTTCTCCTCCAAAGGATCGCAGCTCGTTGCCAGCAATGAAACAAAGCTGGATGGAAAATGACTTTGATGAGTTAACAAAAGTAGGCTTCAGAAGGCTGGTAATAACAAATTATCCTAGCTAAAGGAGGATGTTCAAACCCACCGCAAGGAAGCTAAAAACCTTGAAAAAAGATTAGATGAATGGCGAACTAGAATAAACAGCATAGAGAAGACGTTAAATGACCTGATGGAGTGAAAACCATGACATGAGAACTATGTGATGCATGCACAAGCTTCAGTAGCCAATTCAATCAAGTGAAAGAAAGGGTATCAGTAATAGAAGATCAAATGAATGAAATGAAGTGAGAAGAGAAGTTTAGAGAAAAAAGAGTAAAAAGAAATGAACAAAGCCTCCAAGACATATGGGATTATGTGAAAAGACCAAATCTACATTAGATTGGTGTACCTGAAAGTGATGGGGAGAATGGAACCAAGTTGGAAAACACCCTTCAGGACATTATCCAGGAGAACTTCCCCAACCTAGCGAGACAGGCCAACATTCAAAGTCAAGAAATACAGAGAACACCACAAAGATACTCCTTGAGAAGAGCAACCACAAGACACATGATTGTCAGATTCACCCAGATTGAAATGAAGGAAAAAATGTTAAGGGCAGCCAGAGAGAAAGGTTGGGTTACCCACAACGGGAAGCCCATCAGACTAACAGCAGATCCCTCGGCAGAAACTCTACAAGCCAGAAGAGAGTGGGGTCCAATATTCAACATTCTTAAAGAAAAGAATTTTCAAGCCACAATTTCATATCCAGCCAAACTAAGCTTCACAAGTGAAGGAGAAATAAAATCCTTTACAAACAAGCAGATGCTGAGAGATTTTGTCACCACCAGACCTGCCTCACAAGAGCTCCTGAAGGAAGTGCTAAACATGGAAAGGAACAACCGGTACCAGCCACTGCAAAAACATGCCAAATTGTAAAGACCATTGATGCTAAGAAGAAACTGCATCAACTAACGAGCAAAATAACCAGCTAACATCATAATGATATGATCAAATTCACACATAACAGTATTAACTTTAAATGTAAATGGGCTAAATGTGCCAATTAAAAGATTCAGACTGGCAAATTGGGTAAAGAGTCAAGACCCATCAGTGTGCTGTATTCAGAAGACCCATCTCACGTTCGGAGACACACATAGGCTCAAAATAAAAGGATGGAGGAAGATCTACCAAGCAAATGGAAAACAAAAAAAAGCAGGGGTTGCAATACTAGTCTCTGGTAAAACAGACTTTAAACCAACAAAGATCAAATGAGACAAAGAAGGCCATTACATAATGGTAAAGGGATCAATTCAACAAGAAGAGCTAACTATCCTAAATATATATGCACCCAATACAGGAGCACCCAGGTTCATAAGGCAAGTCCTTAGAGACCTAAAAAGAGACTTAGACTCCCACACAATATTAATGGGAGACTTTAACACCTCACTGTCAATATTAGACAGATCAATGAGACAGAAGGTTAGGAAGGATACCCAGGAATTGAACTCAGCTCTGCACCAAGAAGACCTAATAGACATCTACAGAACTCTCCACCCCAAATCAACAGAATATACATTCTTCCCAGCACCACATCACACTTATTCCAAAATTGACCACATAGTTGGAAGTAAAGCTCTCCTCAGCAAATGTAAAAGAACAGAAATCACAACAAACTGTGTCTCAGACCACAGTGTAATCAAATTAGAACTCAGGATTAAGAAACTCACTCAAAACTGCACAACTACATGGACACTGAACAACCTGCACCTGAATGACTACTGGGTAAATAATGAAATGAAGGCAGACATAAAGATGTTCTTTGAAACCATTGAGAACAAAGACACAACATATCAGAATCTCTGGGACACATTTAAAGCAGTGTGTAGAGGGAAATTTATAGCACTAAATGCCCACAAGAGAAAGCAGGAAAGATCTAAAATTGATACCCTAACATCACAATTAAAAGAACTAGAGAAGCAAGAGCAATCAAATTGAAAACTTAGCAGCAGGCAAGAAACAACTAAGATCAGAGCAGAACTAAAGGAAATAGAGACACAAAAAACCATTCAAAAAATCAATGAATCCAGGAGCTGGTTTTTTGAAAGGATCAACAAAATAGATAGACCACTAGCAAGACTAATAAAGAAGAAAAGAGAGAAGAATCAAATAGATGCAATAAAAAATGATAAAGGGGATACCACCACCAATCCCACAGAAACACAAACTACCATCAGAGAATACTATAAACACCTCTGTGAAATAAACTAGAAAATCTAGAAGAAATGGATAAATTCCTGGACACATACACCCTCCAAAAACTAAACCAGGAAGAAGTTGAATCTCTGAATAGACCAATAACAGGCTCTGAAGTTGAGGCAATAATTAACAGCCTACCAAGCAAAAAAAGTCAAGGACTAGATGGATTCACAGTCAAATTCTACCAAAGCTACAAAGAGGAGCTGGTACCATTCCTTCTGAAATTATTCCAGTCAATAGAAAAAGAGGGAATCCTCCCTAACTCATTTTATGAGGCCAGCATCATCCTGATACCAAAGCCTGGCAGAAACACAACAAAAAAAGAGAATTTTAGACCAATATCCCTAATGAACATCGATGCAAAAATCCTCAATAAAATACTGGCAAACCGAATCCAGCAGCACATCAAAAAGCTTATCTCACGATCAAGTGGGCTTTATCCCTGTGATGCAAGGCTGGTTCAACATACACAAATCAATAAACGTAATCCATCATATAAGATGAAATCAAAGACAAAAACCACTTGATTATCTCGATAGATGCAGAAAAGGCCTTCAACAAAATTCAACAGCCCTTCATGCTAAAAACTCTCAAGAAACTAGGTATTGATGGGATGTGTCTCTAAATAATAAGAGCTATTTATGACAAACCCACAGCCAATATCATACTGAATGGGCAAAAACTGGAAGCATTCCCTTTGAAAACTGGCACAAGACAGAGATGCCCTCTCTCACCACTCCTATTCAACATAGTGTTGGAAGTTCTGTCCAGGGCAATCAGGCAGGAGAAAGAAATAAAGGGTATTCAATTAGGAAAAGAGGAAGTCAAATTGTCCCTGTTTGCAGATGACATGATTGTATATTGAGAAAACCCCATCATCTCAGCCCAAATCTCATTAAGTTGATAAGCAACTTCAGCAAAGTCTCAGGATACAAAATCAATGTGCAAAAATCACAAGTATTCCTATATACCAACAACAGACAAACAGAGAGCCAAATCATGAGTGAACTCCCATTCACAACTGCTTCAAAAAGAATAAAATACCTAGGAATTCAACTTACAAGTGATGTGAAGGACCTCTTTGAGGAGAACTACAAACCACTGTTCAACTAAATAAAGAGGACACAAACAAATGGAAGAACATTCCATGCTCATGGATAGGAAGAATCAATATCATGAAAATGGCCATACTGTCCAAGGTAATTTATAGATTCAATGACATCCCCATCAAGATACCAATGACTTTCTTCACAGAATTGGAGAAAACTACTTTAAAGTTCATATGGAGCCAAAAAAGAGTCTGCATTGCCAAGGCAATCCTAAGCAAAAAGAACAAAGCTGGAGGCATCACGCTACCTCACTTCAAACTATACTACAAGTCTACAGTCACCAAAACAGCATGGTACTGGTACCAAAACAGAGATATAGACCAACGGAACAGAACAGAGCCCTCAGAAATAACACCACACATCTACGACCATCTGATCTTTGACAAACCTGAGAAAAACAAGCAATAAGGAAAAGATTCCCTACTTAATAAATGGTGCTGGGAAAACTGGCTAGCCATATGTAGAAAGCTGAAACTGCATCCCTTCCTCACACCTTATACAAAAATTAATTCAATGTGGATTAAAGACTTACATGTTAGACCTAAAACCATAAAAACCCTAGAAGAAAACCTAGGCAATACCATTCAGGACATAGGCATGGGCAAGGACTTCATGTCTAAAACACCAAAAGCAATGGCAATGAAAGCCAAAATTGACAAATGGGATCTAATTAAACTAAAGAGCTTCTGCACAGCAAAAGAAACTACTATCAGAGTGAACAGGCAACCTACAAAATGGGAGAAAATTTTTGCAATCTATCTATCTGGCAGCAGGCTAATATCCAGAATCTACAAAGAACTCAAACAAATTTACAAGAAAAAATCAAACAAACCCATCAAAAGTGGGCAAAGGATATGAACAGACACTTCTCAAAAGAAGACATTTATGCAGTCAAAAAACACATGAAAAAATGCTCATCATCACTGGCCATCAGAGCAATGCAAATCAAAACCACAATGAGATACCATCTCACACCAGTTAGAATGGCAATCATTAAAAAGTCAGGAAACAACAGGTGCTGGAGAGGATATGGAGAAATAGGAACACTTTTACATTGTTGGCGGGACAGTAAACTAGTTCAACCATTGTGGAAGACAGTGTGGCGATTCCTCTAGGATCTAGAACTAGAAATGCCATTTGACCCAGCCATCCCATTACTGGGTATACACCCAAAGGATTATAAATCATGCTGCCATAAAGACACATGCACAGGTATGTTTATTGTGGCACTATTCACAATAGCAAAGACTTGGAACCAACCCAAATGTCCAACAATGATAGACTGGATAAAGAAAATGTGGCACATATACACCATGGAATACTATGCAGCCATAAAAAAGGATAAGTTCATGTCCTTTGTAGGGAAGTAGATGAAGCTGGAAACCATCATTCTGTGGAAACTATCGCAAGGACAGAAAACCAGACATTGCATGTTCTCACTCATAGGTGCGAATTGAACAATGAGAACATGTGGACACAGGGCGGGGAACATCACGCAGCGAGCCTGTTATGGAGTGGGGGGAGAGGGGAGGGATAGCATTAAGAGAAATACCTAATGTAAATGACAAGTTAATGGGTGCAGCACACCAACATGGCACACGTATACATATGTAACAAACCTGCACTTTGTGCACACGTACCCTAGAACTTAAAGTATAATAAAAAAAAGAAAATGAATACATTTGGTACACACAATTTTGCCGTAAAGGTAGATCTTCCTAATACTTCTACTGAAATACATTTTTATGTCTTTTGGTAAACAATTTTCATAGTTTTAATTTCATTAGGTTGAATTCATTATGAAAGTAACATTATTCTTACCCTTGTTATGATAAGATTTAGAATTATACCTCTTCCTTTTGAAAAAATACATATCTAAAGAAACTTTTTATTCATATTTAAGGACTCCCACTGGTCACATAATTCAGATGCAATTAACAAGTTCTTGGAGAGCATGGATGTGGGTGATGGTGTCTAAAGGGAGGCTTGTCAATGCCTAGTAGGAATGAGGAATAGAATTCTTGCATTTTCATTATGAAACTGGAGATAGCTTATTAATAGAAAAACCTTGAAATAATTGTAGGAGGCATAGCTTTTTTGTGTCGTATGTGAGTAGCATAAAGTATTAACTTATTTCCATGTGGTGAATATTTCAAGTACATAAAATCATTTTCCACCCCAAAAGTACAATTGACAGGTTTATTTCTATGTTAGCACTTTTCATTTTAATTAATTAGAATATAATAGTTTAACTCGTTTAGTCAAAGTTTATGATCATTCTGTTTCCAGACAAAGCAAAGCAAAATAAATAAAACACAGGTAAATACAAAACTGTTTAAAAATTTAGTGGTAAGTATGGCAGAGTCAGCATCCATGATCATGTAGTGCTGTACTTCTCTTTCATGTTGATTACAAAAAATGAACTTAAGTTTTCCAAAGACATAGCTATAGTTAAATGGTTCTACACAAAAGTCATGATTATATAACAATAAATTCTAATATTTATGCTCTAAAATTGGTTCTACCTTAATTACCATAATTCACTGATATGGCAGCCCAACTGATACCTGAGGTTCAACCCTATGAAAAGGAAAATGTCTGAATCTACCAACTATGTATTCAGCCAGGTACCTGGCTAGAGAAAGCTTTCTCTGTCCACATCTGATCCCCATAGCCCTCCCAGGAGATCAGAAGTTTATTCTTTGTGTCCAGGGACTCCAGGCAATAGTCAAGACTGGAATGAGGTGGCAAGTTAAAAACAAGGAACTTGAGAGAATGTTTCCATAATGAATACTGGGATCTCATCCTCTTTCCCCAGTCCTGCTTCCAGAACAACTATGACTGTGTGCAGGAGACTGGATAATTCTTTTTTGAAGAAACAGAACTACCTCACATGCATGGTGGTCCTCAAGGTTGGCAAGCTACTTCATCTCGCTGCAATGAAGCTCACCAGGCAAAACACCTCACCTCCAGTTGCAGATCATCCAACATGCTTTTTAGTATTTTGCTATTAATTATGAATGGGCAGATAAGGAGCCATAAGACATTTAGGAAAAGGATTCAACTTGAGGGAGGAAGGCCAAAATAAAGAGAAAAAAAAAAGTGGGGGACCTGAAAGACATGATGACTATGAATGAAGGAGACGAAAATTTCAAAAGAGAAGAGCCAGCTGGGTACAGTGGCTCATGCCTATTATCCCAGCACTTTGGGAGGTTAAAGTGCTGAGAATCGTTTGAGGCCAGGAGTTCAAAATCAGCCTGGCCAACATAGTGAGATCCCATCTCTATTTTTATTTAGAAGAGAGAGAGAGAGAGAAGCCTATAATAATATCCTTGGAAAAGTAAGAAAATACATCATGCCTATGAAACCAGAATAGGGATGAATGGGGGAAAAAAAGCACTACACAAGAAAGAACAATGGTTTTTTAAAATATGACAAAACAAGGATTTTGATAGAAAGATTCAGATACATGATCAAGATAATCACTGAAAATAGGATAGAAAAATAAGGAAAATTAGAAAATTATACCAAGGGGGGTAAAATCTAAATAAGAGTTCCAGAATGGAAAAAAAATCAGAGGAAAAAAGTTATCAAAAACAAAATCAAGAGAAATTTTCCAGGGCTAAAAGATATAAGTCCTTGTATTGAAAGCCCCACTGTCTACCTCTTTGACAGATTAAAAGACCCATACAAACACACTCTGTTAAATTTCAGAACAGGGTGAAAGATCCAAAAACCTATAAGCTGGGCTGGGGGAATACGGAGTCATATGCAAAGAAACAGGCATTATAATGGCACTGGATGGCTAACAGCAACATTAAACAATAGAAGACAGCAGGAACAATAATTTCAAAATTCTAAGAGCACACTTTCCAACATAGACCTCAACCTAGACTAAAAAGTAAGTGTGAGCATACAAAAAACATGCATTTTTAAACATTCAATAACTAAAAAAAAAAATATTGCCATACACACTTTTCTAGGAAGCTTCAAAGATGTTTGCTTCACCAAAATGAGGGAATAAACCAAGAAAGGGGAAGACACAGAATCCAGGTCAAAGATACAAAACTTTTTCTGGATGTAAAAAGTACAGTTGACCCTTGAACTTATATGAGGGTTTTTTCCCACCTCTGCCACCCCCGAGACAGTGAGACCAACTCCTCCCCTTTCTCCTCTTCAGCCTACACAACTTGAGGACAACAAGGATGAAGATCTTTATAATAATCCACTTCCACTTAATGAATAGTAAATATATTTTCTCTTCCTTATGATATTCTTAATAACATTTTCTTTTCTCTAGCTTACTTTATTGTAAGAGTATAGTATATAATACCTATAACATAAATTTGTATTGATTTAGTGTTTATGTTCACTGTAAGGCTTCTGGTCAACAATAGGTTATTAGTAGTTAAGTTTTAGGGAGTCAAAAGTTACACATGGGTTTTTTTACTGCACCGGAAATTGGTTCCCCTAACCCCCACACTGCTCAAGGGTCAATTTTATTGAGTTTGAGAACTCTGCACCAAACTACAGAGCAACCAGTCTAGATTAGAGAACCAAGCAGACAACTACAGGAAAGAATTCTGCAGTGGGGTGAATAAGTTGGAGTGAGAGGTTGTTTTGTGTGTTTAAGCATTTGCGAAAAGTTCATCAATGTTTAAAGATTTGGTGGACCATCAAAAAAAAAAAAATACAGCTGGGCACAGTGGTATGTGTCTGTAATCCCAGCTACTCCAGAGGCTATAGCAGGAGGATCACTTGAGCCCAGGAGTTCAAGTCCAGCCTGGGCAACACAGCGAGACCCTGCCCCAGAAAAGAAAAGAAAATTTATAGGAAACTAAATAAATAGAAAACTAAGCAAATAAATAACACCCACTATTACCCCCAAGGATGTGGAAGGAAAATATTGTAAGAGAAATGAAAATGTGATCCTAGTCCAGTAAGTTATTAGTGAGCAATATTTATTATCATAAAAATATAAACATTGTAATTTAAAATATGATAGAATTATATTGGGAAACTGGAAGAAAGAAATGAGACTGAGGTGCAGTAAGAGCTTAAATCCTCAACCACCAGAAAAGCAAGTCAGTGATTAAAATCCATAAATGAAGAAATAAATGTATATTCTTTAGAAACCTATAGGTAAATATCAGAGGCAACTTCCACAGAGTAGTATGGACTGGAGATATTATTTCTAAACTATGTGTCTACATTACTTCGATTAAAATAAAAGTTCTACAAACAACATTCCCTGTGGAATCAGTGTTAACAGAAAGTAAAACTGCATAGCTTTAGGGACTTGAGAAGGTAGCTCTCTAATAACAAATGACTGAAAACCAGAAACTCTTATTTCCCATTTTGGCTAAGATTATTATTACTGTGGCTTCCAGCCTGGAATGGCAACCCCTCTTATTCCCTAGGTTACCTTGGGCATGTTGCTTGGTCACCAAGTACCTCAGTCTACCTCTGTAAATTATGGGTAATGACAATGCTTCTCTCATGGCCTTGGGAAGAGCATCCTTCCACCGTGCCGACAAATAGTAAGCATTCAATGAGAACAGCCCAACAAATAGATCAGTGAGGGGTGCTGGGGCTGAGTAAGGAAGCAGCTGATGCAGAATTAACGGATCATCTCTGCTTTGGACATGGATGAGGGACTGAGCACATGTATGCCTACAGGATCAGGTCGAAGACTTAATGAGTTGTGAGGAATAGACATTAGAATCAGGGCACGCAATGTATGAATGGCAGGGACTATGAAAGAAACAGAAACTTAGCTCATTCTCATCATGGCCATGCAGAATTTCAAGTCTTTTGTACTAGATTCACCTTTTAAATCATCTGCTTTTCAAATCATCTGATTTCAAGTCATAACATGTCAATAAAACATCATGCAAGCCAAACTAAATCCATCTTTAAGCTGTACATAGCTTACAACTCCCCATTCAGCAGTATCTAAGAAAGGTGTTAGCTGGTACAAAAGTTATTGTGGTTTTTACCATTACTTTTAATGCCATTTGTTTTTATGGTTTTTGCACAATAAATTGGTGTAACTTGTACCAGCCTAATAACTTTCTGAGACTCCTAACTGGAGAGCAGTCTCTAAGAAATGCCATTAAAAGTAATGGCAAAAACCACAATAACTTGTACCAACCTATATCCACGGTCTTGCTCTGTATGGCATTGAGTAAAGGCATCATGGCCAGGTCATTCCTTATACTATTTAATGAGAAGGGCGATGGCATGTGCTCTTTTTATTGGTGCATGAAAATAGTTCATTTGCAGTTAATGTTATTACAGAAAGAAATAGTAATTTTAAAATGTTGTGAGTACATATCTTCTTTAATATTCTACGTATTACCTAATGCCTTCTAGTAAATGAAGAGTGCATGAGAAAGTTTGCTCTTTGTTATACTTTTTCCTGGTAATTCTGAAATGTACTAGAAAGTAATGTTTTAGCTCCTGTAATTGTCAATAAGCTTTTAAGTCCTCTACTATGGTCATGATGATATACTTTTGAGATGTTGCAACTACTCATTGAAAATACTTGAAGTGATAGGAAATATGTATATCTGATGTAAATAAAATAAAACATTGAAGAGGAAAATGACTTTCCATTGACCCTGTAAATTTAACATTTAAAAAACAAGAAAATTGAACGTCTATGTAAAAACACTACCTCTCTGTCCATCATGTAAAATGAATTAAAGACATTACCATAATCAAAATACATTTGAAACAAATTATAAGAACTACTTTCTAGAGAGTTTTATCTGTGACTAGAAAATTATAGACTCTTTATTGATAATCACCCAAGTAAACTCTGGGCATAATGTCAGTGTGGACAAAATTTATCAGTGATAGCTAAGGAAGAAATGAAAATGAATTTCAAAACTAATTCAAAAATCCTCAAATTTGTAATTAATATGCAAAGTATTATGTAGATATGAACAAATATCTTTGAAACTGTAAAAGCATATAGCCTAAAATCACAAGACAACCAAACATAACAGTGAACTATTCCCTAAAATTCTAGGTGTAATCGTTAAAATCTTCTAGCATTTCTGTCTTCTAGTGTTTTGTTGGGGGGGGGGGATAGATATTATTACTAAATACGGCTGCTTGTTTCTAATATATTCTATATATGTTCATTAACATTAACATTGATCTTTTAGAACAGGGGCTGGCAGACTACAGCCTGCAGACCAATTTCAGCCATGCCCATTTGCTACTGTCTAACGACCACTTTGCTTTCATGCTACTATGGCAGAGTTGAGTAGTTGTGGCAGAGACTATACAGGTCACAAAGCCTAAAATACTTACTTTCTGATTCTTTACAGAAAAGGATTGCTGATCCTTATTTTAGAGAAGTATATTAGACCTTCATAGGGGAAAAATTATGTAGCTTGTCTCTTTGGAATGTGTGCCTCTAAAATCAGGATCTTTTCTCTTACTTCTTTCACATAATTCATAGCATTTAATTATTGGAAAAATAATAATGTCTTTTCTATAATAAAATGAATATTCTAGGCAAATAGGAAATGATTATTGTCATCTGTTTTTGAAAAATACATTTTTAAATGGGTTCCACATGAACTACCATAATAATCTGGGGAAACAGGATTTATGTCACTGGGCTTCAGAGATTTTTACAGTAGTTTTTTTTCAACAAATAAGATCTTATGATGGAATTCCAATTTAGAGATCAGATAAGAGGAATATATATGTTCCTCCATGGGTTGTCAGGAAAAAAAATTCTCCAGTGAGTCCTTGAATGTCAGGGACGATAGTTTGCAACGGTCTAGAAAAATCACTGAGTTATCGTGGCATATACAACTGGATCATAACCAGATAAAAATAACCAATGACTCTTTTGTTTCCCTTATATCCCCATAATAGATTTTTACAATGTGCTAAACAAGTATTGAATGCTGATGTACAATACAAAGGCAAGAAATTGTATTATATACAAATGTGCTGTAATGAATAAACTGTGAACCCCTTAAGGGCAGAGACTTCCATATAAGAATGCAATATATTCTAAAGGTCATTTTCATGGGACTCAATATATCTTCCACTAATTGGGACATGACTACGAAGGCTGATAGGAATAAAATCATTTGGTCTATATAAGACATACCTAATAGGTCCTAGTACTTTGCAACTTAACTGGGTTATGTTTATTAATGACAGCACATTCTAGTCACTGCCAAAGAAGATACCTATATTTGGTTTAGGATAGAAAAACCTACATTTGAAGAAAGCTTAGCAAGCAGAAATAGTCACAGAAATATTTCAAGAATTGAAGAGTAATAAATTACAGGATGATTATTGCCAAGACACTCTTCCTGTAAGTGGGCTCTTCGAAGTAATCACAAAAAGAATTATTTAGGAAAGCCCACTTTATCATTCTTTATTTAGAGCCAAGTGTCATTATTTTTTATTACCCTCTTCCTATGCCTTAAGCTATACTCACTACAAACCCAAATACATCATTTTTACCAAAAGCAATGTGAGTGAGATGTATGTATCTGTCCTGCTTGTTTCTGCAATATTTGAATGAAAGGGTAATATTATAAAGATGTTCTCAATTTGTAAGGAGAAAAAACTTTGTGTTAAATATAAAATAGACGTGTTCTAATTGTATGGCGTCATCTGTCCACCTGTGCTAGATTTTGCTACACAAATATCAGTCACAGATTCTGTTTCCTACATCTGACTTCAACATCAGACTCCTCTTTTGCCTTTCTGTTCAAACTAGGTCTCTGGATATTGACTTGACATGTATTTTGACTGTAGCATATACAATGTACTCTGGAGTCAAGCACAGCTCGAATCTAAGTTCTGCAATGTAGAAGTTACGGGATGGTGGCAAATTACTTCTGTGTCATGAACTTCATCTTGCTCATCTTTAAGGTAGAATATGTAAGAGAACACTTTTAAAGGGGTGATGAGAGAATTCAATGGTACAGTGCATGTAAAGTACTCAGCTTGATGCACGGCAAGGTGGACAAGGAGACGGAGGTATACAGCTTTTCCTAGACTCTGTTGTCCAACTTTCACTATGAATGCCAGAACTAGCCATCCACTAGGGCTCTGTCTCTCTCCTTCAGTTTGCCTGACAACTGGGTGTCTGACCACTCACATCTCAGAGGAAATCTGCTGATCCCATCTAATCAGAAAATATCAAGACCTGCTGTAGAGAGAAGAGCAACTAAGAAGAATGAATACATTCTAGAGTGGATTTACATAAAATTCTGGGACTTCTGTGAGATGGAATCCCAAGTAAAAGAGAGAATCATTCCGTCTCAGAAGGAATAGTTTGGAGAGACGCTTGATCAAAATAATGGAATCCTAGAGCGCAGTGGTCAGAAGGAGACTATCCTTCGTTATGGGATAATGCAAAGTGGTACACAGAGGAAGGAAGGAAGTCAGGCTATTTTAGGAGATGAAAGGAGGCTTTAAACCTTCTGTTATGCCCAAAGTGAAAGATGGACACATCACCTCTGCCCTTCTGAATTGAGTTGATTCCATGGCACAGAAAAAAGTGCCTTCTTTATGTATATTATAACTCTTCTAACACTATTTGCTGTGAAAGGCAGCACCTATTTGGTATTTAATCAGTACTGTACGCTTGAGAGTGGGAGTCAGATTTCCCTCCCTTCTCCTTTCCCTCTCCACTCCCTGAACTTATTATAGTGGTAAACATTCAGAATAAAAGATACTTATTGAATTGAATATGTAGTTCTTTAAATTGAGATATGAATTGTGTCTCACTGTGGATTTTGTACTTATGTAACAATACCTATTAATCCTGAAATATAAAAAAACCCAAGGTCTTTTGTGTATGGGTATAAAATCTGAAATGTGAAGCCTAAGGGAACACATTAGGGAAAAATGTGTGCTATAATCAGATGGTACAAGTCCAGTTGTCTTCCTTAGTAGAAGAGCAGAAACAGTCAAATACAGAAATGCCTTCCCAGGGCTGTTTATTTTCATTTTTATTTATGTATTTGTTTGTTGACATGGAGTCTTGCTCTGTCCCCCAGGCTGGAGTGCAGTGGTGCTATCTTGGCTCACTGCAACCTCCACCTCCCTGGTTCACGCAATTCCCCTGCCTCAGCCTCCCACGTAGCTGAGATTACAGGCGCATGCCACCATGCCAGGCTAATATATTTTTTTTTTTTTTGCATTTTTAGTAGAGATGGGGTTTCACCATGTTGGCCGGACTGGTCTCGAACTCCTGACCTCAGGCATCCAGAGCTGTTTTGACCCTTTACTGATCAAAGTTCAATAGTACCCCATTCCAACTCCACAGCCATCAAAACAGTCATAATGCTGGGAACTAGGACACTGGTTTGTCATCCTAATTCTTGAAGAACTTAATCCATTTACATTCAAAGTTATTATTGACAAGTAAGGACTTACCCCTGCCATTTTAAAAATTGTTTTCTGATTCTTTTGTATATCCTCTGTTCCTTTCTTCCTCTCTTATTGCTTACCTTTTTGGTTGGTGGTTTTCTGTAGTGACAAGCTTTGATTCCTTTCTCTTTCTCATTTGTGTATCTGCTGAAATGGGTGGAAATTTGGTTACTATGGGGCCTTCTGTAAAAATTCTTATCATTACTGATAACAACTTAACTTTGGTCATATTAAATACTGTAGACATTTTCCCTCCCTGCTACCATTTAAAATTGTGTTGCCTTAATTTACATATTTTCTATTCTGTGTGTTCCTTAACAACTTATTGTAGCTATAGTGATTGTTGACAATCTTGACTTTTCATTCTCATCCTGGAGATTTGAAAGATTATATACTACCAGCAGAAATAGAGTATTCTAAATTTGGTAATAAATTTACATCTATCAGTGAGATTTAAACTTCTACATGTCTTTATGATAGTGATTATTGTCCTTTTGCTTCTAGCTGAAGCACTCCCTTAAGCATTTCTTAAAAGACTTGGTTAGTAATGACGAATTCTTTCAGGTTTTTTTAATCTGGGAAAGACTTTATTTCTCCTTCATTTCTGACAAAAAGATTTGCTGGTTATAATATTCTAGGCTTGCAGTTTATTTCTTTCAGCATTTTAAATATATCATCCCATTCTTTCCTAACCTACAAGGTTTCTGCTGAGAAAGCTGATAATAGTATAATAGGGATTCCCTGATATGTGACTTGAGACTTTTCTCTCGATGCTTTTACAATTCTGTCTTGACTTTTGAAAGTTTGGGCCAGGCATGATGGCTCACGTTTGTAATCCCAGCACTTTGGGAGGCCGAAACAGGTGGATCACCTGAGGTCAGGAGTTCAAGACCAGCCTGACCAACATGGTAAAACCCCATCTCTACTAAAAATGCAAAAATTAGCTGAGCGTGGTGATGCATGCATGTAATCACAGCTACTTGGGAGGCTGAGGCAGGAGAATTGCTTGAACCCAGGAGGCGGAGGTTGCAGTGAGCCGAGATCATGCCATTGCACTTCAGCCCGGGCAAGAAGAGTGAGACTCCATCTCAAAAAAAAAAAAAATTTGATTATAATGTGTTTCAAAGAGTAACTATTTAGATTTAATCTAGCTGGCATCCTTTCAGCTTAATGGATCTGAATCCCATATTTCTCCCAAGTTTGGGAAGTTTTTATCCATTATTTTCTTAAATAAGCTTTCTATGCCTTTGTCCATCTCTTCTCCTTCTGGAACTCCCACAAAGGCCAAATGTTTGTTTACTTAATAGTGTCCCATAAGTCCTGTAGACTTTCTTTGCTCTTTTCATTCTTTTTTCCCCACTCTGACTGGGTTATTTCAGAAGACCTCTCTTCAAGTTCAAAAATTCTTTCTTCTGCTTGATCTAATCTGTTGTTGTTCAATTGTATTTTGTTATTTAATTAATAACATTTATTAAATTATTAAATTTATTAAATTCATTAGCTGTAAGATTCCTGTTCGCTTCTCTTTTTTTTATAGGTCTTTGTTGAATTTCTCACTTAGATCATGAATTGTTTTTCTGATTTCATCAAATTGTCTGTCTGTATTCTCTCGTATCTTGCTGAGTGTCCGTAAGATTATTATTTTTAATTTCCTTTCAGGCAATTTGTAAATTTTAGTTTCTTTAGGGTCAGTTAATAGAGAACTGTGTTTCTTTGGTGGTATGTTCCCTTGGTTTTTCATGTTTCTCGTATTCCTGCATTAATATCTGTGCATCTGATGGAATGGTCACCTCTTCCAATTTTTTAAGTGCCGTTTGTGGAAGAAGCCTTTCACCTGCAGATGCTTCCTAGGGTGTCAGTTGGTTAGGGTGTGTTGGCTTTGGCTCTGGGTGGGTACAATAGTGTAGCCTCCATGCAACTTCAACTATACTCAAAGTCAGCCATGTCTGTGAGTGACTCAGTAGCACAGGCTGCAAGAGTTTTTGTGGCTGGCTCATCTCCTTGGGTGCTGCTCTCCTGAAGGCAAGGCACAGGGCTGGTTTGTGCTTCAGGCAGGTCAGGGACTGTTTGGCTGGTGGCTCTGCTTAGGTGCTGCTCCCCTGAGGGTGAAGAATCAAAGTTATAAAGTTATGGCTATTTAACTGGACCTGGGCTCCATGTAGCCAGAGCAGGATGCTGTAGCCCCTGGGATAGAGAAGCTAGAGTGTCTCCAAGGCAGCTTATTCCTAGGGGGTATGGAACTATAGTAGCTCAGCTGCGAAATGGTGTCCTACAAGGCATAATGGTGGCAGAGACTTAAGGATGGGGAGATGCAGTGGCTCCTGTCCTGCAGAGAAGGATGCACTCTAGCAGTGGCTCCAGTTTCAAGATGGCACCATTCAGCAGCAGCTTGAGTCACAGTGGGGAGGGGACACAACATAGACTTTTTCCCTGGAGCAACACAGCTGTGTAATCTCCTGGATGCTCCTCATACTGGGCTCAGGACTTGCAAGAACTGTAGGATTCCCCAGCAACAAAAACTGTAGGTGTTGACAGAATTAATGGAGGCTGCCAGGAGCCTCCCACTTACATTCTCTGTGTACAGGGAAGTCCCTCCTGGTTCTGAGCTGTTTTTCACTGGGAAGACAGGGTGTCAGCTGCAAGGCTCCTCTCTCCTTCCTCTGTGTGACTATTCTGAGTTTCTATGTTCTACAGGGTCTCTAACAGACCACTGCTGTACTCCAGCATTCTCCTTTAAATACTCTAGTTAAAATAAAGTTGTTTATTCATTGTTTGGGTCCTTTTTCAGTGGGAGCCATAAACACCGGACACCTCTAGTTAGTCATCTTTCTGACATCACATCCCATAACTTCTTTTTTAATCTGCCTATTTTTCCCCCTCTCTAAATCAGCAGTTCTTAATTCTTAGTTCCCATTAGAATTAACTGGGAAGCTTTTAAAATTATCAAAGCCAAGGCCCACCACCAGGAAATAGTCTGAGTTACTAGAAATAGGATAGAGGCTGAGCTTTAGAATGGTTTAAAGCTCCCTAAGTTATTCTAATATGCAACTAAAGGTTAAAGACTACTGGTCTACCCAATCTCATTCATACCCAGAGCTTCAATTACTATTTGTACTATGTTGGCCCGAAGACCTATTAACCTCAGTAGGGAAGTCACCAGGATCAAAAGGCTGAAGAAGAGACCCAAAGAAAGCAAATGAGACATTGAGTTTTATTAGAGGCTTACATACACAGTAGAGAGTCTAGTGGCAGTGGGCAGGACAGAACCACTTTATGTATAGAAATGGTCCAGTGATGGTGGACGGGACAATGTATCTACCTTACATACAGTACAGTGGTGGTGGCTTGGAGAACGTATCCACTTTCCTACAGTCCAGTGGCAGTAGGATGGACAATATAACTGCACAGCCCAGTGGTGGCACGCTAGGCAGGAAAACTGCCTGCAAACATATGCAGTTTACATAGCATTTTCACTTAACACTTTCCCCTTAACAGCCTCCACCTGGCAACCTTCACTTACCCCAAAATCTCAGGACCTCATTCCCCTGTATGGCCCATGTTCCATAGGACAAGCTGGACTTAACACTTTCCCCTTAACAGCCTCCACCTGGCAACCTTTGTTTACCCCAAAAACTCAGGACCTTATTCCCCTGTATGGCCCATGTTCTATGGGACAGGCTGGACAGTTCAGATGTTTATCATACATAAGGAACAAATCTCCAGATTGGCCACTCCCAGATTTCCTAGCTTGGAACACATATTCGAGTGCATCTGCTGCACAGGGTCATTGTGAGGGTATGCTTAAAGTATTGCTATCAGGTACATTTATGCTACATACTAATGATTCCAAAATCTAGGTCTTCAGCCCACTTTTGCTTCTGAGCTCCAAGTCTGTGATTATTTGGCATTTCTCTCACCCTGCTAGACCACAGGTTCCGTGAGGATGGGAGCTATGGTTGATTTGCTGCTTGCCCATTTTATTCCAACACCAGACACAATGAAGATGAACATAGAAGATGCTGATTAAATATTTGTCAGTTAATTGATCTAATTTCTTGATCATCATGTAGGATCAAGGGAGTTAAAGTTTTTAGATGAAAAGAAAATCTCATGTTTAGCTGTACCAACATTCTTCATTGACAAGAATGTGAGGCAACAGAAGAATCCAGGGCACAAATTCATCTAAGTCAAATCTGCTGCATCTAATCCTGGAATTTGCTGCCAGCGTAAATTTTGTCTCTCTCTTCTATATATCCAAAATTGAGATAATAATGGCATTTCCGCAGTTGTATTCCAAGTATGTTTTAAAGGTAGATAATCCCATTTATGCAAAATTGCTTTGAACTAGTTAGCAAGAGTGTGCGGTGCCATATTAATTAAAAACTATTTATTCTACTTTAAGATTATCTGTAAAGAAAACAAGCTGCTCTTACTAGTCAGGTTTTTAAGAGTGTAGTTGTTTCTCAAACAATTTTAAAGTTTAGCCTATTGCCCTTTAGTTTTCAAAACTACCTACTAAAGGAAACAAAATATAACTCTTAGATTTTTTTATGTCTGAAACACCTTCTTATCACTTTATCATGTGCATCTTCTGTGACTAAGGTTTTCTTCTGCTCACAAAACCTTCAACTCAAGTTAAAGCCATTTGCAAGCTGTGCACAGAAAGGAAAATGATGGCAGAGTAACCTGGACATGTTGTATTAATCTTCTCACCCCCTGCAGAGAAAGGGAGCAGGCTTCCTCATAGCCATTTCCTCCCCAGAGAACATTTTAAGCACAAACCATACCACAATAAGGCAGGACCGCTGGGCCACAGGGAAAAATGGCACAAGCGTAGATAATTACTGTGGAATGCAGTGGGTAATTACAGGACTCCTGTACTTTCACCAGAATAGAACTCCTAATTATCTCAAATCCTAACTTTATGAAATCAGAAACAGTTACCAAAGAAATTGCACAAAGGGGTAAAACCTTGGATTGTTGAAATGTGAAAGCAATAACAAAGAATTTTTGTAATAGAGAAAAATAGCCTGAGGATCTAGAAACAATTCTGGTGCTTCATTGAGTCTTCAGTGTCAGCACCGCTTAGCCTGACTGCAAGTAAGTTTTTTTTTAAAATATATTGCGTATCAATTTGTGTGCAGAATGCATCTAAAATCCTGGCCAGTCTTATTTCTTTCTTTTAAAAAGTTCTTTAGGTAGTATTGTTAAAATTCTATCTTTTGTTTGTTTCATACTTTTTTTCCTCCCAGTTTACATTATACTCTACTAGTCTAAAAAAAAAAACCATAAATCTTCAGGTACCTAACTAGTCATTAATTTAAAAATGAACTCTATTATGTGTATAAAACACGAAAGCCTCCTTAGATAGTCAAATCTTAGCACACCTACTAGGAATGTCACAGGTGTAATTTCTCATTGGCTTTAATTGGCAAAACACTTGAAGCTGATTAAATGGGAAAAAGTTCGACATTAATACAATTTCTGGAACACCTACTGTATGTGAGGCTGTATGCTAGATTCTTTGCATATACCTTTTATAATTAGAGCTGCAATTCTTTGATTAATTAGACACTCTAGACACTACTAGACACTATTTCTAAATTTCAGAGGAGATAACCCAAATCAGAAATAAAGTAGCTTGCCCTAGCCCCTTGTTTCTCAGGGGGTGGTTTACAGATAAGCAGGCACTGGCATTTTTAGGAACTTATTAGAAATGTGAAATCTTGGGCCTCACCACAGAACTACTGTGTCAGAATTCACATTTTAACAAGGTCCCCAGATGTTTCGTGTACATTTCGAATTTTGAGAAGGCTGTGATACCTCAAACATCTCATAGGTGGCTGAGACCAAAGCCTAACCCAGGTACATCTGTACACAGAGCCTGTAGCTTCGCCCCGTGTCACAGTGCCACTCTCGGTAACATCTTGATGGTACTCTACCCTTCTACTAGAAACTTCTTTTTGGAAGAGTCCTAGCAAATATCTATCAGTTCCCAGGAGCTTTGAGTATGTTGCTATTGAGAGCTAAGTTGACTTTCCATCTCTACTGGCCCTTAATTTCTGTGCTCAATAGTCTCTGCTGTGATTTCCTCTGGGAAGGCACAGCACAGCTTTCATATCCCCATATCCTGCTACCCAGTTTACATCTGATGACAAGAGATGCACATCCTTAGACCTCCAAAAGCCTGAGAAGAATATGGGGGCTTGCCATTTTCAGAATTTTAGTCTTGTTCTTTTCCATTTTGCTTTCCCTTTCATCATGATTGAGTGGGAACTGAATCACTGCTCACGCAAGTGGCTGTAATTGCTTAGGAAATGTAAATAAAGAGCTATAATCATTCAAACTAAATGGTGAAAATTAATTTCCCAAGAAGTCTCTCTTTATTTGCACAAAAATTTTTATTTCTCTATTCAATAACCACAATTTATATCTTGCAGTAATTGTCATTGAGATTGATTAGTTGTGAAAATAGCAAATTTTAGAGAAATAAAAAGCTGAACAGGCCTAATGGCTGAAAAGGCAAACTTAGTCATATAAGAGTCATCTGTAATATAACGTTTGGAAATGTTAGTTCCCTGCTCTATCCTCTTCCCTAAAAATAGAATAATTCATTAGTAAAGAGGGGTGTATTAGGGCAAACACTATGAAGTGATTAAATTAAATGCAGACAGGCCAGGCGCGGTGGCTCATTCCTGTAATCCCAGCACTTTGGGAGGCCGAGGCGGGTGGATCACTAGGTCAGGAGATTGAGACCGTCCTGGTTAACATGGTGAAACCCTGTCTCTACTAAAAATACAAAAACATAGCTGGGCATGGTGGCGGGCACCTGTAGTCCCAGCTACTCGGGAGGCCAAGGCAGGAGAATGGCATGGACCCAGGAGGTGGAGGTTGCAGTGAGCCGAGATAGTGCCACTGCACTCCAGCCTGGGCGACAGAGCGAGACTGTATCAAAAAAAAAAAAAAAAAAAAAAATTAAAGGCAAATAAATTGTATAGGACCTTTCTTTGTTAAAATTAGCAAAAGTGGAAGTATAACTGTGTTATATGGGTATTTGGAGCAAAGAAAATCTATTTAATTAGGAGGAAAAATCCATAGATTAGAAAAATAACATAGTATGAAAATAAAAATTTTCTGTATATTTATTGATAAAATTTTAGGGAACAATTTGATTATGACCCATTGAATAAATCAGAATAGATTAGATAAAATCTTGCTTTTATTCAATATGAAACAATGTATAGGCTAATTACAAAGGATCTAAAACTAAAAAAAATTTTTTGAAGCTGAAGTTGTGGTTGAGAACCTGATCTGAATGGGACATGGAAAATATTACTTAAGACCCCACATTAATTTGAAATAAAGGGTCTTTATTTCAAATAAATAAAAAATGAAAAAGGTTGATATTTTCTTTTCCAGTATGATTCCCAAAATCCCACTAGCACAGATGATGGCTATCACTTTCCCAGGCTGGAGTTATGACTAATCCTCCTAAATTACACTAGCCACCTGAATGCATGACACCTGGAATGCAAGCCTGGATCCCCCTAGCAGGAACCAACAAAATTAAAACATATCTTGTGACCTTTAACTCAGCTGTCTAGGCAAGAGACATATAAATCTCCACTCATTCCAGGATTGGCCATATATGGTGCATTAGTCAGAGTTCTACAGGGAAACAAAACCAACAGGATGTGTGTGTGTGTGTGTGTGTGTGTGTGTGCGTGCATGCGTGCAAGTGTTTATAAAGATGTTTATTATAAGAAATATCACATGATTATGGAGACTAGCAACACTCAGGATTTGCATGGTAAATACGCAATCTAAAGACTCAAGACAGCCAATGGTATATGTATTAGTTCGTTTTCATGCTGCTGATAAAGACATACCCAAGACTGGGTAATTTATAAGGGAAAAGAGTTCTAATGGACTCACAGTTCCACGTGGCTGGGGAGGCCTCACAATCATGGCAGAAGGTGAGAGGCATGTCTCACATGGCAGCAGACAAGAGAAGAGAATTTGCACAGGAAAGCTCCCCTTTATAAAACCATCAGATCTTGTGAGACTTATTCACCATCATGAGAACACACAGAAAAGATCTGCTCCCATGATTCAATTACCTCCCACCAAATCCCTCCCATGACATGTGGGAATTCTGGGAGCTACAGTTCAAGATAAGATTTGGGTGGGGACACAGTGAAACCATATCAGTATAGTTCCAGTTTGAGTACAAAGACCTGAGAGCAAGGAAAGCCAATTGCATAGTTTCGGTCTACAGGTCAGTAGGCTCAAGACCCAGTAAGAGCCAGTGTTTCCATTTTAGTTCAAAGGCAAGAAAAAGATGATGACACAGTTTAAAGTAAATGAGGCAGAAAAAAATTCTCTCCTACCAGGGGGAGGGTCAATCTTTTTCTTCTACTCAGGCCTTCAACTGATTGGATGAGGCCCACTCACACTAAGGAGGGCAATCTACCTTACTCCGTCTACTGATTTAAATGTTAATTTCATTCAAAAACACCTGAAAGTAACACTCAGAATGATGTTTGACCAAATATCTGGGTACCCAATGATCCAGTTAAGTTGACACAAAACATGGACAGCATATAGACAGCAGCCATAAATTATAATCACTGAAAATACTCTGCCACACATTTTGAGAATATCTGTGGGGGAAATTTGGCTATATGTGAGTACAATAAACTATAGATGGCTTCAATAGTTAATTACTTTGACTATTGTGTTGGTTTTAAAATATGTCCACAAGTTTTTGATACTCACTCCTTTGAAAAGTGTAGTTAAATTCTCCTCCTCATAAGGGTTGGCTTTACTTATTGACTGGCTTTTATGAACGGAATGTGGCAGAGGGACAGTCAGTGATGGGCAACACTAAATAATAAAAGGCATTGTGGCATCCTCCTTGCTCTCTCTCTCTCTTCTGGATCAGTTGCCCTAGGAAGTCTGCTGCCATGTCATGAAAACATGCCAGTAGTCCCATGGAGAGGTCCACGTGTTGAGGAATCGAAGCCTCCTGCCAATAGCCATCAAGGAATAGGATGCCTTCTGCCAGTAATCATGCAAGTGAGCCGTCTTGGAAGCCAATCCTCCATTCCCAGTCAAGCCTCAAAAACTGCAGTCCTGGCCAACATCTGGACTGTAACCTTAGAGAAATGCTGAGTCTGAATACCCAGGTAAGCCTCTCCCAGATTCCTAGTTCTCAGAAATAGCACGGGGTCATAAATGTTGTTTTCTAAAGCTGAGTTTGAGGGTAACTTGTTTCACAGCAATAAATTACTAATAAAACTGTTTCTATTTCCTTCAGGTCAAAACGGGGAGGAAAAGTAACTGGCATCATTAAGGTGATATTTATATTCAAAGAGGTTAACCAATTTTTATAGAGATACATTATATCCTTGAAAAATGGGTGTTACTACTAAATTTTTCACCCTCAAAAACATATTGTACATCACGTGAGTCACACATTTCTATTTTGAATAGAAGACTAAACTTGTATGGCTCCTTCCAGCAAAGACATCATAAAATACACTTTCTTTCTTAGCTGATACTCTAGATAACATTTACCATAATATCTGAATTTTATAGAGTAATAAATTCCACCAGTCCTTTTCAAAAATCTCAAATGACCCTCCAAAGCATTCATTTAGCTCCTTTCTGAATGTCATAGTCATGGCACTGCATGGTTCTGTTTTCCCTCCTTTGAAATGAATCCTGGTAACAAGGGGGAAAGCTGAGCTGACCTTCTAATGTGACTTCTCACCTTTCCAGCTGTCCAGCTGTTCTCATGCTGCTAATAAAGACATACCCAAGAGTGAGTAATTTATAAAGGGAAGAGGTTTAATTGATTCACAGTTCCACATGGCTAGGGAGGCCTCGAAAGCATAGCTGAAGGCGAATTGAGGAGCAAAGTCATGTCTTACATGGTAGCAGGCAAAGGAGCTTGTGCAGGGGAACTCCCCTTTATAAAACCATCAGATCTCATGAGACTTACTCACTATCACAAGAACAGCACAGGAATGACCTGCCCCCACGATTCAATTACCTCCCACTGGGTCCCTCTCATGACACATGGGAGTTACAGGAGCTACAATTCAAGATGAAATTTGGGTGGGGACACAGCCAAACCATATCACCAGCCAAGGCCTGCATGAGGCTCCCTGAGTGGTTGATGCATCCCCAGCATCTCACACTCCCAACATGTTTAAGCCAAGAAAACACTTACAATAGTGACAGTGATGACAATAAAACCAGTGATAACCAAAGCACTCGCTGCCACTACTGAAATCTGTCACAGCTCAACCTGAAAAAAACATTCATGAGTATTGAACCGAGAGGGTGGACCAGAAGACATCATCCCCCAGTACCTTTGTCGGGAGGACTTGAGGTCAGCCCTCAGCCAAAATCTACTGTCTTTAAAGCCAAAACAATGCCCAATGGGCAAAATAAATAAATAAATAAAAAGACAATGCTGGCTTCCTGGAATCTGAGTGAGAATTTGAGGTCTTAGTCAATTATAAAGTAAGGACAAAGAAAGCATGCATTAAAATATTTTGTAAATGGGCTGTTAGAAGCTAGAGGGACCTAGGAGCAACCAGATGACATATGAGGAACCTGTGGCCCCAAGAGGTGAAATGACTCATCCAATGTCACAAGCTGCTTAGTTGTGATTTACCTTACAGACATCTCTCCTGATTTCTGATCTAGCACATTTTCCACAATATAGCTATATCACAAGGTTTTGATACATCTATTTATTAATTTTGATTTTGCCTTCTTTTTTATCAAAAAAGCAATAACTCATGGTAAATAATTCAAAAAATGAATACATGACCCCATTTATATAAAATCTTAAAATAAAGCCAACCTATTTTAAGATTTCCTTTGTAATTAACCTATTAAAATATGAGTGGGAAAAATTTATACCAATCTTAGTGATATGATTTGGCTGTATCTCCACCCAAATCTCATCTTGAATGTATCTCCCACAATCCTCACATGTTGTAGAGGAACCTGGTGGAAGGTAATTGAATCATGGGGGTGGGTTTTTCCGGTGCTATTCTCGTAATAGTGAGTAAGTCTCACAAGATCTGATGGTTTTATAAAGGGCAGTTCCCCTGCACACACTCTCTTGCCTGCCACCATGTAAGACATTCCTTTGCTCCTCCTTCACCTTCCACCATGCTTGTGAAGCCTCCCCGACCATGTGGAACTGTGAATCCATTAAACTTTTTTTTCTTTATAAATTACCCAGACTCGGGTATGTCCTTATTAGCAGCATGAGAATGAACTAATAAACTTAGGATGCTGGTAGCTCTGGGATTTGGGATCAAAAGGGCTGAAAAAAAATACACAAAGAGAGAGCTTCAATTGTTTTATTAACATGATGATATATTAAGAAAAAAAGATCTGTAGCAATTTTTTAAAAAAACATATTTGGGAGGTTTGTTTTGTTTATAATGTTCTTTATACTCTGTATATTTTAGATATTTCTTGATTAAAACAAAAACAAATGTTAAGATATCATAAAACAAAGTGTACCTCCTTCCACAGGCCATCACTGACCCACCTCAAATACAATCTCTAATTAAGTTTCTTGAGCATTATTTCAGGAATTTTCTTTGCGTATATAAATTTCCTTGGAAACATGCAGAATCATAATATATACTGTTCTTCATTTTATCTTTTTTATCTAAACAGCACATCTTGCAAACTTTTCTATTTCTGCCTTCTTTTTTTAATGACTTCAAAATATTCCATTGAATTAATGCATCTCAGCTGAATCAGTCAATATTAACTGAAGTTTTGCTAGTAAAGTGTGGTCTGTGGATTAGCAACATCAGGATCAACTGAGAGTTTGTTAGAAATGCAGAATCTTTATTTTAATAAGATCTCCAATGCCAGGCGTGGTGGCTCACGCCTGTAATCCCAGCACTTTGGGAAGCTGAGGTGGGTGGATCACCCGAGGTCAAGTGTTCAAGACCAGCCTGGCCAACACGGTGAAACCCCATCTCTACTAAAAAATACAAAAATTAGCTGGGCGTTGTGGCACGTGCCTGTAATCCCAGGTACTCAGGAGGCTGACACAAGAGAATTGCTTGAACCCAGGAGGCAGAGGTTGCAGTGAGCCGAGATCGCACCACTGCACTCTAGCCTGGGTGACAGAGACAGACCCTGTCTCCAAAAAAAAAAGATCTCCAGGTGATTTCTATGAAATTAAAAATTAAAGTTTGGGCCAGGCCTGGTGGCTCATACATGTAATCCTAGCACTTTGGGAGGCCAGGTGGGTGAGTCGCTTGAATCCAGGAGTTGGAGACCAGCCTGGACAATAAGGCAAAATCCCATCTCTACAAAAAAAAATTTTTTTTAATTAGCCAAGCATGATGGCCTGCTCCTGTAGTCCCAGCTACTCAGGTGTTTGGGGTGGGAGGATTACCTGAGCCCAGGGAAGTCAAGACTGCAGTGAGCCATGATTGCTCCTGCACTCCAGCTTGGCGACAGAGCAAGACCCTCTCTCTAAAATAAAATAAAATAAAATAAAATAAAATAAAATAAAATAAAATAAAATAAAAAAAATAAAGTAATAAAAATAGCTCCTGCTCCAAAAAAAAGTTTGAGAAGAATTGACATAAATAGCATGCTATTTGCCAGTGACCTTACTTGAAATAATCCTATAATCCAGAATACATATATAGTATGCATATTTATAAAAACATACATTTATTTTTAAGTAAGTATTCTTCTATATAATATGATTAAAAAATAGTCTCGGTATATAAGAAACTCAAGAAATGAGTGAAGAATGATTAAGAGATAATTACTAAAATTTCTTCACAGTTGTTTTTCACTGAATGTATTTGTTGGCTTGAAAGTTTTAGAAAAGTAACGAAGAGCAGTACAGCTTCTGGAGGCTTTGAAATGTTACCATAGGAACAAAACAAACCAATCAAACTAAACTTGGAAAGCATATTCAAAATAATTTAAAAAATAGTTCAGCATATGGGTAAAACCAAGGAAATAAAAATTTAAAACAGTTTTCCTTCCCCCGACCTCACCCCACAAATCATGATGTGCTTCTCATACCTAATTTTCTAGGATGGAAAAACTTGCCATACAAATATGTTTATTTTGCTACTATTTTATTTGTGGGCTCCTAGATTCTAGGTCTAAGAGTGAGGCTGCCTTAGGACTAGGACAGCCCAAAGGAAGGGTATGCAGGCCTGACTGTCGAGCCCCAGTGCAGGCTGAACACTTCACCGGCATCCTCCTTTAACTGTTGCCCCAAGGGTGCTATTCTTGGAACTCTGCTCTTCTCATCCTCAGGACTCTCCCTAGACAATCTCACCTAACTCTATGCTTTCTGCTAGCACCTATGTGTTAGTCACTTCAAAATCTCCCACCTAAGACTGACTTGAGAGCTCTAAACCTTCATTTCCAATTCACTACCAAAAGTCTACACCAGGTTGGGACACAGATTATTCTAACACAGAGGTTCTCAACTTTAGAAAGGTGACTCAGAGTCACCTGGAGCGCTCGTTAAAACTCAGATTGTTTTGTGGATGGGATTGGGCTCATCCCCAAAGTTTATGATTCAGTAGGTCTAGTACGGGACCTGAGAATCTGTTTCTAAAAAGTTTCTATGTGATGCTGGTGCTGCTAGTTCAGGGTCCACACTTTGGGAATTGCTGCTGTAACAAAACATATTCAAAATGAAACCCATTTTCTTCCTCCAAATTCTTTTTGATCAAATCTTATACCTGTTGTTCATCCAGTAGAGTATTGCCGTTAGCTTCTTCATGAATCTTGAAAATAATCCTCTCCCCTTTCTTCTCCATTCTACCTCTCATTAATGTAGAAGCAAACTTGGTTCCTGTGGTTAAAAAGGGTAAATGACTCACTGCCCAACATACACAAAGCTTACTATAGGCCATATCTATGAAGCACACTGAATGAGTGTGGGGATAGTTCAAGAGAAGTCAAGGAAATGGAAATTACTTTTCTTGATCTATGGCCAGCACTTACCCAGCTTATTTAAAATAGACTGGAAAGAAAATTTAAAAACTAATTCCTTAGGAAAAGCTGCATTTTTGGTGAACTTTGTCATAATTTCCATCTATCAACCCTTTGGATTTATGATGGGAACTTTTATAAAATTAATTTTGCAATTAACTTGAGACTTGAGGACTAGAGGGAGCACAATTCTTGAATTTGCTAATTGTTCCTTTTTATTTTACCATTTAAGATAAAGAGCTATTTTAGCAGCATGAGGATTATTTAAACACAAATTACAAAGGCATATTTACATCTATACATTGCTGAACAATATTTTCAGGCGTGGTGGCACCAAACAGATAAAAGACAAGAACTCTTTCAAAAGTCCAAAAACTTACAGGAAAACATGGATGTACTGTGGCGAGGGGAAAAAATAAACTCTAAGTATAATACAAATAGTCAGGAACACTAGATCACTGAATTTTTTCTCTGTTATTCACATATTAACTAAGCCATTTGTCAACACACTAAATACCAGTAGCGATATCTTGTGTCCAAGAATCTGCCAACATTTGATGATTCAGTAACTGTGCAGGGTTTTTCCCCAGAGATTTCACTGGGTTGCTTGTAAATAGGCAACAAAATTATATATGTCTATGTGCTTACATAATGTCACATTTAAAGCATGGAAACATTGTTAAGCACAGATAAGAAAAGCTACAAAGCATATAAATTACTTGAGGCCTGTTTTATTCACTTCATAAATTGAAATCCTATGTTAACACAAGCAGGTGACCATGGCAACATTTGCTGGTTAGGCATGGAATATTAAAAGAGGGACAAACTGTTTCATTCCTATGCACTTCACAGGAGTGACTTCTATTTTCACTAATCTTGCACTATTTAAGAAATCCGTCCATTTCCTCTAAGTTATGAAATTTGTGGGCATAGAGTTGATAATATTTCATTATCATCCTTTTAATGTCAATGAGATCAGTAGTAACTGACTTCTTTCACTTCTGATATTATAATTTGTATATTTTCTCTCTTTTTTGGTTAGCCTTGCTAGATATTTCTCTTTATTTTTAAAGGCAAGAAACTCACATTTTTTTTTTTTTGAGACGGAGTCTCATTCTGTCACCCAGGCTGGAGTGCAGTGGCACGATCTCAGCTCACTGCAACCTCTGCCTCCCGGTTCAAGTGATTCTCCTGCTTCAGCCTCTGGAGTAGCTGGGATTACAGGTGCCCCCCACCATGCCCAGCTAATTTTGGTATTTTTAGTGGAGGTGGGGTTTCACCATGTTGGCCATGGTTGGCCAGGCTGGTCTCAAACTCCTGACCTCAGGTGATCTGCTCACCTCAGCCTCCCAAACTGCTGAGATTACAGGCATGAGCTAGTGCACCGGCCATAACATTTTAAATTTATTGCTACTTTCATTTACGTTTTACTGAAAAAGTGTCCTTTTCATAATGAAAAGGGAACTTTTAAATAATTTTAAATTTCTATGTTCTAATTAATAAAAATTATAGTTAAGGAAAAGGCAAAGTTAACATACAAATTTGCTTATTTTACATTTTTGTAAAACAATTATATCATTCAGTATTGCTGCTCAAGCGAACACATGCATATGAAAATCTCTCTTGTACACATATAAAATAGAAGACTTATCAAACACCTGCAACACCTATATATTATTTGAGAGTTTATTATCATTTAAATATCCTTTCAAATAAGATCCAATAGCATTTCCAAAAATAGAAAGTGTCTATTTGAATACCAGCTTTTGGTAGAACGTGAATAGCATTAAGTGTGTGGCCTGAGTAAAGGGCAGACCAGCAGAAAACATTAGCGGACTTTCCAACATTTTTACCATGGCTGATTAAATAGAAACACATTTAAACAAATGCCCCTTGGCATTAAATTCTTAAAACTTCTTATAAACACATGTTTTTCATTCATGCAATATCAGCTATTAATTTGTGTCACTTTTGCTGTCAATAAAGAGAAAATTCACCAAAGACGGCTGGAATTACAAGCATCTTTATTGTTTACTTTATAAGATAACTGGAGGTTGTTAGTCCTAGACGTGCTTCTGTGGCTTGAGGAAACATTGACTCTTTCCATCTTTCTATTCTATTGGCTTTATTCTTGTTGTGATGTCAAAATGGCTACTGAAGGTACAAAAAACGTCCTCAAATCACAGGATCCCAGGCAGGAAGGACAAGGTAAAGGCAAAAAGGCTCTTGCACAGCTTATGCCTTTTTGAGGGGAGGAAAATCTTTCTTAACAGCAATTAGATTATTGGTCAAAAGTAATCCTTGCTTTCCCCTCAAACTGTCATTGGCAAAGAGGCATGGCCACACTGTCACTCAAACAAAGGGACGTTCTGTTCACAAGGAAAAAGGAAATAATGCTATTGGATGGGTCACAATGTATGCCACATTTTCTCTTGTGACAGAAAAATTTGCAAAGGGGAGTTTTACCATAAAGCCCTCTACTAAATATATAACCATTGGTGATTGATCTCTAGACTATCCTACATCTAATAAAATCCATGACTTGTTTAAATGATGAATGTTCATGTTCATCAAATCCACGTATAAGACAAGATGGTACAGAATTCATCATTTGTACAAGATGGCTAGAAAGAGAAACAAGAATCCAATAAACAATCTGAGTGTCAAGTCATCAAGATACTGATAATGTGACTTTCAAAAATAAATTCTGTTTTACACATAAGCTCTAAAGTGAACACCTACATTGACTAAGCTTTTCCTTTGAAAAGACCACTCTTATCTCAAAAAAAAACTTTTTAAAACAGAGAATGAATAAAGAACTAATATTTTGAGGACTACTAGAGCTAGTTACTGTGTTTGATTTTTAGCATGTGGTACTCTTTTAATCCTCACCATAAACCAATGAGATCTCTCTTTTTATAAAGCTGACTTAAAGTAAACACAGCTAAACAAGGCTGAGTCTGTTAACTAACCAGGCAAGCAATCACATGCCTGTGAAGGAATTTGTTGAATAGTTTGTTCATTCAGAGAGAAAACTCACAGTTTTGAGTTCTAAAAAAGTAGGCATTCATGATAGCTATGGTAATTAAGTGTGAAAGCCAGCACTCTATATAGGAGGGAATAGGTCCATATGTTTGTACATGGTTGGTTGTAACAAGATCCATTGTTGATGAATCAGAAAAGTCTTCAGTTAGGTCTAGTAAGCGTCTTTCCTCTTTCTCTCTAAAACTTGTGATCTTTTATCAGCTCCAGCTTGCCACCAGTTAGAACTAGTGGCAATGAAACACAGCGGTCAGCTTTGTATTTCCCAGACAAGTACTGTTATGGTTGGAAATTTTTCAGTTTACAGCTCAAAGACAATAAAAGTTTATTTCTCACTCAAACAATTCAGGGCAGTTTCCCACGAGGCAATTGGGTGGTGTCTCTACAGTCATTCAGGGACTCAGGCTGACAGAGACCATACAATCTTCAATATGTGGTTTCTAAAATTTCCCAGGGCATTGGCCAGGGGAAAAAAGCTGGAAGGATCTTTTATGAAAGATATCGGGGAACCAGGTCTGTGAGTGGCACGTATCACTTCCACCTACATTTAACTGGATAAACCTAGTCACATGGCCATACCTCACTCCAGGATCTGAATGGTTAAAAAATGTCAACTTCCTCATGGTTTCTGTGATCAAATAGTGTTAAACAGAAATGGTCAGTTAATCAAGCTTCCTGCCACAGAATGATTGGCTTTTAATTTGCTAAGGAACCCTGTGATTTTTCCCATGGGATATAAAAGTTTGTAGCATTGTAGCATTACTCAAACTGATTTGGGCATAGTACTCATTTTAGACTGCTGCAATGATCTAAGTGGTGTTTCTCAACTTTAGTGTACATTAGAATTACCTGGTTTGTTAAAACACAAATTCCTGAGCCCCATCCCCAAGGTTTCTAATTCAGTTGGCTGTTACCTAAAAATGTGCATTTTCAACAAGTCCTCAGGTGATGCTAATACTACTAGTCCAGGGACCACCCTTTGAGAATCACTGATCTGCAGGATCACTTAAGAGATAAGGAAAATCCAAAGTGGTGGGATGAGGATGTGTGCCTGCTGGCTGTAAGTACTGAGCTGTTGCTTTCACCATCATCTCTATTGTTTTCCAAAGCTCAGCCCTCTCACTAGGGAGAAGCCATGGTTTTAGTGTATGTGCTAGAGAATTTCATCCATTTAAACGAGGTATTTGCTGCTAAGGGGACATTGTATATAGAAAGACCAAGAATGGAATGTAAGTCAAGCTATGTGGTAAGAATGACTGATAATTTTTTTTGTTTTTTAAAAAGAAGTAAATCCTTTAACACTGTTCATTCATCTTTCCCTTCTTTAACATTTTCTGGGTGCATCTAGATGAATAAGAAAATGTGCCTTCACTCTCAAAGATCACAGAAGCAAACAGAGGTGTGTCTTGGAAATATGAAGGAAAGGCCTATATTTCAGACAAGCCCCAAGGCTGTGGGGTCAGAGAAAGTTTCTTCAAGCAGGTAAGGCTCATTACAAAAATTATTAGCATATATCATTTTACTTGCTTCCTGCATTAAAATTTTCCTTCAAAATCTAATCAAAAATGTTTTTAAAACTCTGATTTTACATGGCTTTTATTAATATTTTCCTTCTCCGATTTTTAAACAACCTAAAAATATATAAATAGATAGTAAGACTTCTTTAATTTTTTCCCTCTGATTGTGGAAAAGTTTCTGTGATTTTTCTCTCTGAGAGTTTCAAAGCCTGAACTTCTTGACAGTTAATTAAAACAGGTCATTTAGCCACTAGCCACTAATCACATAAATTATAACGCAGAGACAAAGTGATGGTCATATTCCATTAATAATTGAGCTAAATGTCAATATTGTGCTTTTGCCTAGAAAATGATGAGAAAATATTTACTGGGGGAAAATAGGCACTATTTTGACCCTTAAGTAAGGATGGAGCTACTAAAAAATTAGAAGGATTTTCAACTGGATTTCCCTCAAGTGCTAGGCTAGGTTCTGAAATCCAGAGGTACATCTCAAACAATTGCTACACTATGTAATTTTGCACTCACCCATTTTAAAAGTTGAAGATGTATTCGAAAGCATTTTTAATCTCCTTTATTTTTATCAAACATCGCCAACTTTGAGCAATGCTTTGTTATGCTCTGGGAGGATGCTGCAAATGAGCCTGTAAACGTTTTCTGTGCTTCTGTTCTAATGTAGAGGATGGGGTATAAAGAAGATAATATTGACCATGAGCTTTAGAATTACTGAAGCTGAATTGATGGAAAGTGGTGGAATCACCATATTATACTGCCTGACTGTCTTTGTTTGTGCTGCTGTAACAGTATACCACAGACTGGGTAATTTATAAAGAACAGAAATTTATTTTTCACAGTTCTGGAGGCTGGAAGTCCAAGGTCAAAGCACCAGCATTTGGTGTCTAGTGAGGGCTGCTGTCTGCTTCCATGATGGTGCCTTATTGTTGCATTCTTCAGAGAGCAGAAATGCTGAGTTTTCATATGAGAGAAGGCAGAAGAGCAAGAGGAATGAATTCCTTACATGAAGCCATTTTATAAGGGCACCAGTTCTATTCCTAAGGGAAAAGCCCTCATGGCCTAATCACCTTTTAAAAGCCCCACCTCTTAATACTGTCATATTAGCAACCTGAATTTTGGAGGTGACCCATTCAAACCATAACACTTGTTTTATGTATATTTAAATTGTTCTTTAATAAACTATTTTACTTAAAAATTAGTGTCCACACCAGGTCCAGTGGCTCATGCCTGTAATCCCAGCACTTTGGGAGGCCAAGGCAGGCAGATCACCTGAGGTCAGGAGTTCGAGACCAGCCTGGCCAACATGGTGAAACCCCGTCTCTACTAAAAATACAAAAATTAGCCAGGTGTGGTGGCACGTGCCTGTAATCCCAGCTACTGGGGAGGCTGAGGTAGGAGAATCGCTTGAACCCAGGAGGCAGAGGTTGCAGTGAGCTGAGATCATGCCCCTGCACTCCAGCCTGGGAGACAAGTGAGACTCCATCTCAAAAATAATAGTAATAATAATAATAATTAGTGTTCAATGGTCTTACCTGCCTAATCAGTTCTATTGGTAATTTCTTGAAAGATAAGACAATGTTTTAGCAGTTATATTTTTTTTACCAAGTCGGTAAATGCTGCCAAATAGTTTCCCCTAAAATTTGCACAATGTAACTACAAAATGATGAAACAGTGTATTACTTTCAGTTTTGAGGCTCCATTTCTTTACTGATGAGTCTTTACCAATAAGCCATTCACACTTCATGAAGAAAAATTCATTTCTAAATACTAGCAAAAAAATTTGATCTAATAACCTGAATTCATATTTTATGTCATAAAATAAATGAAAAATTTCTCAATCTTTAATAAGCCAGTTCAAATATTGTATGCCTTTGTAAAAAAATAAAATAAAATGACTGGTGAGTGATTAATAAAGATTTGCTGAATGAATAATGAATGACTTAAAACTGTGTCTTGGGAAAAAAGAGAGAAATTTCTACCAGTGCTTGATATATTTGATTGAGCCATATGAAGTCTGAAAGGATGTAATTTAAATGAAGAAAAATACACATAACTCTTCTAATTCACTTTTTTTGCTGCTGGTAAATGTTTAACCAGCTCTAAAAAAAAAAATACACAAGTATAATTGCATAGTTTATTTCAAATTCGGATAAAAAATGTAGCACACAATTTGCAAATAATAAGTTGTACAGTTTTTAACAAATTTATATAACCATTTGATTTTTAAATAATATTTTTATTTCTTGCCAAATCTTGATTCTTTAGCTAGTCTATATTTGTAATTCAACCATGATTTGAAAAAAAAATCATATTACAAATCAGTAGTTGATTAGTACTTATTTCAGCAAAGAAGTCACTCAAATTGTCAGTGAATGAGTATATTTCTGACAAATATATTGATGGATGGATATTTTTTATTTTCGTTAAAGAGTGAGAAGAAAGTGAAACAACAAAAACAGATGTTAGAACTTCACTCATTTCATTAATGGCATCATCAACTTCTTTGCCCAATTGAATTATAGTTTTTAATAACTGAAATAATGTTTTTCCAATTTTTGTGCTTTTCACAAAATAATGCATACAGACACAATATACTTTTGAGTTTAATCCTTATTAGTAACACTTTTTGTCATCACATTCTTAAGTCGAGGCAATCAATAAAACAATGAGTCAAGCCCTGATTTGTAGTTTTGTCAGTTTCCATAGTGTAAATATTCCGACCATGGCTGACTTTAAGCTACCAACATGGCATCACTGAAAACGAAGTTGGGAAGAGATGCACAGTAGCACACCATCACATAGTATTTTCATCATACAGATACAACAAATGTAACTGATTTCAAAATTAAAGGTAACAAAAGATGTAATAAAATAATTAGGCATGGATATATTTTGAGTATATACTACCTTTGTTTTATTATAATTTATTTAACTGTTGACATGTATATTTTTTAACAATGGCTGTGTTTCATAACTGGCTCACAAAATTCCTAAAAATTAAACAGCCACCTTTTAACCTGTGAGCCAGTGCAGGTTAGCTCAAGAACAACACTTCTGCTCTCTTGTGTGAGCTATTTATGAAATTATCTCGTGTGTGTGGGGTGGTGGGGGGGGGGGGTGTGATAAAACTATATTCTTGCTATGCCACTCTCCTTTCTCTGAAAATATGCAAAATTGTGCTTACACGTAGTATTTCCTCAAACTTAAATGAGTTCTATTACCTCCCAGTTTGAAATTTTTGTTAAACTTCAGGGCCTCCCAGTTTGAATACTGCCACCTCCCTGGAGGCTTTCTTGATTTTCTTTTCATAATTAATACGTTTTTCATTCCTCTGAGATACCAATGCACTTTACACATCCTCTACCTAAAATGTTCTTAATTCTATAGGTATTATCACCTTTCCACCTTATGCTTCACAGCAGGCACTCAACACACATTATGGACTCTAATATTTTTCTATGTACTTGAAAACATAAGATACAACAAATATTAATTAATAAGGTAACTTCCACAAGGACAAACCTTTATGCCATGTAAGAAACGCCAATTTTTCCCTCTATCATTTTGGTGAGTGAGTACTCACACACACATGGGAGAATGCCTCCAAAGTTCTATAATTTGGAAGAATTAATGAAAATGTCACTTTTATATGACAAGACAACACATGAACACTGGACCCCAATACAAACATGACTCAAGTTCCATCTAATCAAAGGAAATTGGGCAGCAGCTTGTGGCTAAAATAACACACATGCTCAGGTAGGACATTCTCTATAGAGTCACACAGCAGCTTAGGCCATAGTGGAAGAAGTTCTTTCAGTATCGGAAGTTAGGAGGCTTAAAATCTCAGTCTTGTTTCAACAATGCATTGATTGAGCAAGGTCTCCTAGTATTTCTGAGGCTTGGTGTTTATATCTATAAAGTAATATGGCTGAATGAGATGGCCTCAAAAAGAGAACCAGCTAGCCCCAATTGTCTATAATTTTAAGACTCAGTCATGTGCAGCTGGGCAATGCAGAGACTGCTGTCTCCAGTGTCCTATAAACCCAATTCTTACATCAAATTATCAAAAGGTAGGCAGGAGTAATTATTTTCTCACTCCCTAATTCTAGATTGTTCTATAAAGGGAATCATCTTGAACTTTGGAACTATGTGGAGAAATATGTAATCAATATTACTTATAATATATAGCTGCATTGTGGTGGAATAATTTTAGAGCTCTATTTTAAACACATTATTCTATTGAAATATTGAACTGTTCTGGAAAGAAAATTTAGTTTTTCAATTAGAAAAACTTTCTGCTATAAACAAAGATTTTTTGTAACTATGGGCCTCTGCCTCAGAGTGTTGGCTGCTATGGAGACCAAAGGACATAAATATCAAGTAAATTCTAAATCATCTGGTAATCTCTGTTGGGAAGAATATTTTTCTTTTCTTCAGAAAAAAAATAATTTTATAAGTTCAACAGTAGAGAAAGGAAGACAAAATTTATAAAACTGACGCAACTATGTCCCTATGGAAGTCACAGAGTATGATAAATAGGGCCTAAGTCTGTTGTTCCAGTTGTTTGTAATAACCAGCAAAGTAAGAAGGTAGCTGTTACAGAAGTAAGTGGCATCACTTGGAAAAGCAGGTAGGAGTTCTTTGATGCTACACTGACCTCACCCACAGAAATAATTGGTCCCATGGAACCTGAAAGAACTAAGGAGGTGAAAATTGATCTCAAAAAACCATTTGGGGCTCCTTCTATGTCCTAGGTGCCATGCAACCCAGGCCTTCTTCGCAGGCCCCTCTACACGAGCTGCTCAGCTTCTATGCAGCCCAAAGAGAAATAAAGTTCTGAATTTTCTATCCCATTCAGATATCTCAAAAGAATTGATAGCCTTGATTGAAAAGGTTGCCAGCTTCCCTATCTCAACCCAAGAGGGTGGGAGGAAAGAAAAGGCAACAGATAACATTTTTCATTTACACTTTCTTAAAATCATTGGGTTTTGACCTCAAACTGGAATTCCCACATCTTGCATCTCAATTAGATGTCTGTTGTCACTTAGCATTCCTTAAATATGTATCTGGCAAGAGCCTCATGTTCGTTAATACACATCCAGGGAATACCTACAACATACAGAACACTCTGTTAGCTTCTTTGGGCATAAAAGAATCAAATAAACGTTGATTCTGCCCTACAGTGAGCTTATATACTACTGCAGTAGAGATAAAAACATGTCCATAAATATAATACAAAATGCTGTTTTATAATGAAAATGAATGCCAGGTATATAGGAGTTCTTTTGTGGAGGAGGTAAATTTCAGCTGAGCAGCTAGGGAAATGAAATAATGAGGTAATGAAAAAGTTGGAATTAAAGTGGATTATAAAAATCAAACAATTGTGGAAGGAGAGGACAGGTACCTTAGACTGATTAGTTTTACTAGAGTATAAGATGTAAAATGGGAGTGACAGGCTATAGGAAGTAGGTTCTTGGGGGGGAATTACGGCTAATAAAATTAGTTATGGTATGTCTAAAATCTTTATTTAAAAACTCTGGAAGATATCCAACGAAAAGATTAAAAATCTTGGATTAAAATTATTAGTGGAGTGCTTAAAATACAGTTTTGGATGTAAGCTATAGGGGGATGAGAATCAAAATAATGAGATGGCCAAGAGACAGACCCCAGGGTGAGTGAAACAAAAAGAGAAATGAGGATGCAGTGAAGGGCTACTTAGATTTTATTTTTTTATATATATCTGGGTATATGTTTTAGTAGATTCAAATCATGAACCTAAAACAATCATAACAAAACTATGAATTATTGAATGCAGTCATTGTGATAAATACCTTTATAAATTATCTTATTTTGCCATTATGGCAGCTTTATGAAGATGCCCTTATTTACATATTATAAACAAGAATACCAATTTCCCTCAATGTCACATTATTGAAATATTCTAAGACAGTAATAGATTCCAGATCTAATTTGATCCAAACTCTAAATCACTGTGCTATCCTGCCTCTCAAATGCTGTCCTTCCCTAAAAGCTGCTGATAACCTAAATAATTGGACCAACTAGGATTGTCAGATTTAGCAAATAAAAATACAGAATATCCAGTTAAATGTGAACTTTAGATAAACAACAAATATATTTTTAGAATAAGTATGTCACAGGTAATATTTGGGAAATAATTATACTAAAAACGTTATTTATCTGAAATTCAAATTTAACGGGGCATCTTATATTTTATCTGGCAAACCTATGATGAACTAAAGTGTAGGAAATTATGTCCATTCTCTTAAAAAACAGATTTTTCTGGCCAGGCATGGTGGCTCATTCCTATAATCCCAGCACTTTGGAGGCCAACGGGGGTGGATCACCTGAGGTCAGGGGTTTGAGGCCAGCCTGGCCCACATGGTGAAACCCCGTCTCTACAAAATATACAAAAATTAACCGGGCATGGTGGCAGGCATCTGTAATCCCAGCTACTGGGGAGACTGAGGCATGAGAATCACTTGAACCCGAGAGGCGGAGGTTGCAGTGAGCCAACATCACACCACTGCACTCCAGCCTGGGCAACAAGAGCGAGACTCCATCTCAAAAAACAAAAAAACAAAAAACAAGAAAAAAACAGATTTTCCTTAGCCTGTAGTCAATAACAAAGTAGGGAGACAGTAAATGAGTTATAGATAAATAAAAATGAATTATTAAATGAATGGTACATCATAAAAATCGCTATGGAGTGAATAATCTTACTTTAGCTATTTTTATATAATGTTATTATTGATACCTTCTGGATGTTATCTTAATTAGGAATATGGGGTAAAATATCCATATAAGTGCCTCAAATATAAATGAAAATATTAACATACCCATCTTAACGAATTTTGAAAAGAAACCTTGCCACAACCCCAACCATCTACATGCACAGGGCTAATTTAAAATGTTCTTCTGATTTAATGTAGCTAAATAATAAATGCATATTTCAGTGGTCTGTTTTTCTTATTATGTTCTCTAGATGTGATACATCCAAGGACCAAATCAAGAGCACAATAGTGTGGACATTTTAAGGAAGAAAACAATAATTTAAACTTATTTTAAATAATATTATTCAAAATAATAATTACTCAAATTCAATAAAATTATTCAAAATAATTGTATAAATTTAAATTATTCTTGAGTTATTACTATTCTCAGCTGATAGAATAAAGCCTTTAAAATATCACTGTCCTTAATCTATTTTGAGTTGATTTTTATAT
Organism: Homo sapiens; assembly: GCF_000001405.40. Classification (NCBI taxonomy): domain Eukaryota; kingdom Metazoa; phylum Chordata; class Mammalia; order Primates; family Hominidae; genus Homo; species Homo sapiens. The sequence goes on from NC_000012.12 coordinate 39,248,482, forward strand.
ATTATATAAGGGTCCAATTTCATTCCTTTGCATGTGAATATCTAATTTTAACAGCATTTATTGAAGAGACTATCTTTTCCCCATTGTAAATTCTTACCACCCTTGTTCATTAGTTGACCATATATGCATGGGTTTCTGTCTGGGATTTCTATTCGATTTCATTGGTCTATGTATGTTTTTATGCCAATATCATCCTGTTTTGATTACTGTCATTTTGTAATATATTTTGAAATCAGGGAATGTAATACCTCTAGTTTTGTTCTTCTTGCTCAAAATGCTTTCAGCCACTCAAGGTCTTTTGTGGTTCCAAATGAATTTCAAGATTGTTTTTTCTATTTCTATAAAAAAAAACCGGAAATATGGATGTTTTAACAATATTAATTCTTCCAATCAATGAACATGAGATGCCATTCCATTTATTTGTGCCTTTTAAATTTCTTTCATCAATATTTTGTCATTTTCAGCATTCAAGTTTTCACCTCCTTGGTTGAGCTTATTCCTAAGCATTTTTTTATGTTCCTGTAAATTGAATTATTTTCTTAATTTCCTTTTGGGATAGATTATTATTAGTGTTTAGAAATGCTACTGATTTTTATATGTTGATTTTTTATCATGAGAATTCACTATATTTGCTTATTAGTTCTAACAGTTTCTTTTTTAGCAATCTTCAGGTTTTTCTATATATAAGATCATGTCATCTGCAAGCAGAGACAATTTTACTTCTTCTTTTTTGATTTCTATGCCTTTTATTTCTTTTTCTTTCCTAATTACTCTAGGTAGGACTTCCAGTACTAATCTGAATAGGAGAGTTGACAGTATCCTTCTCTTGTTCTAAATCGTAGAAAGAATTCAGCTATTCAGCTTTTCACCACTGAATATGTTAGCTGTGGGCTTCTCATAAATGGCCATTATCATGTTGAGGTAAGTTCCTTCCAAACCTAATTTTTTGAGAATTTTTCTCATGAAACAGCTTTGAATTTTGTCAAATGCTTTTTGTTGTTGTTGTTGTTGTCTATTGAGTTGAACATGTGATTTTACCCCCTCTTTCTGTTCATGTGGTTTATCCTCCTATCTGTTAATTGATTTGTGTATGTTGAAACACGTTTGCATTCTAGGGATAAATCCTACTCGGTCATGGTGTATAATTCTTTTAATGGGCAGTTGTATCTGGTTTGTTAGTATTTTGTTGAGGATTTTGGTATCTACATTCATCAGGGATAAGTGAGATTACATCAAACTATATGTGATAGTTAAATTTATTAGTACACTTGGCTGGGCCACGGTGCCCAGATATTTAGTCAAGTCTTATTCTGGATGTTTCTGTAAGCATGTTTTTTGATGAGGTTAACGTTTAACTTGGTGGACATGGAGCAAAGCAGATTGTTCTCCATAATGTGGGTGGGTGTCTTTGGATTTTGGAGGAAACATATTTCTCATTTGAGTGTGTTATTCCAGTTTGCTTACCAAGTAACCTTAAAAGCTGCTTGTTTTGAGTGGGTCCCAGAACAAAAGAAAGCTTTGCTAGAGGTCCAAGCTGCTGTGCAAGCTTCTCTGCCACTTGAGCCATATGATTCAGCAGATCCAATGGTGTCTGAAATGTCAGTGGCAAATAGGGATGTGTGTAAAGCCTTTGGTAGGCCCCCTTAGGAGAATCACCTGCCATCCTCTGTAGATAGCTACTTTCCTTTTGGAAAACAGCTTTTGACCTGCCATTGGCCCTTAATGGAGACTGAACACTTAACCATGGGCCACCAAGTTACCATGAGACCTGGGCTTCCTATTAGTAACTAGGTGTTTTGTGACACTCAAAGCCATAAAATTGAGTGTGTACATTAGCACTTTACCATCAAATGGAAGTAGTATATATGAGGTTGACCCCAAGCATGCCCTGACGGCACAAGTCAGTTCCAAGAAGAAGCATCCCAGATGCCCATGCTTTCCATTCCTGCTATACCACCTTCTTTCTCCCAGCCTGCACCTATTGCCTCATGTGGAGTTCCCTATGATCTGTTGACAGAGGAAGAAAACACACAGGCCTGATTTACGGAGGAAGAAAAGACATGGGCCTGATTTACAGTTGGTTTTGCACAATATGCAAACACCACCCAAAAGTAGACAGCCGCAGCATCATACTCCCTTTCTTGGTCATCCCTGAAGGACAATAGTGAAGGGAAATCCTACTGGTGGGCAGAACTTCAAGCAGTGCACCTGACTGTTCACTTGGCTTGAAAGCAAAAATGGCCAGGCATGCAATTATATACCATTTAGTGGGCTGTGGCCAAAGGTTTAGCTGGATGGTTAGGGAGTTGGAAGTTACAAGATTGGAAAACTAGTTACAATATAGTCCAATAAAGACAGCAGAAAACATGAATATATTTATGCCTTATGTGAATGTTCATTAAAGGATGACCTTTTCAGGGGAGGATTTTAATAATCAAGTGGATAGGATGATCAGTTATGTGTATCTGCCTGTTTCCCCAGCCACACCTGTTATCCAATGAGCTCATGAACCAAGTGGCCATGGTAGCAGGGATGATGGTTATGCATGGGCTTAAAAACATGGATTTCCATTCATCAAGGCAGATCTGGCTGCAGCTGATGCTGAGTGCCCTATCAGGCAGCAGCACAGACAAACATGGAGTCTGATATGACACCATTAGCCAGGGTGATCAGTCAGCTACCTAGTGACAGGTTGATTACATTGGATCACTTCTATCATGGAAAGGGTAGCATTTTATTGTGACTAGAGTAGACACTTACTCTGGATATTAATTTTCCTTCCCTGTGTGCAATGTTTCTGCCAAAACTACCATCCTTGGACTTACAGAATGCCTTATCCATCATCATGGTATTACACACAGCATTTCTTCTGGTCAAGGAACTGATTTTACAGCCAGTGAAATATATCTTACCATGTTCTCCGTTATCCCGAAGCAGCTGTCTGGATAGAATTTTGGAATTACCTTTTGAAGACTCAGTGACAGCACCAGTTAGATGGCAATACCTTGTAGGACTGGTGCAAGATTCTCCAGGAGATTGCGTGTGCTCTTAATCAGCACCCAATATATGGTGCTGTTTTTCCCATAGCCAAGATTCACAGGGCCAAAAATCAATGGGTGGAAATGGGAGTGAGACTGCTCACTATTACCGCTAGTGCCCCACTAGCAAAAATTTTGTTTCCTCTTCCCACAACCTTATGCTTTGCTGGCCAAGAAGTCTTAGTGTGAAAAGGAGGAGTGCTTCTACTAGGAGACGCAACAATGTTTCCATCAAACTGGAGGTCAAAACTGATACCTGGCCTCTTTGGGCCCCTCATACCTCCAAATCAACAGACAAAGAAAGGAGTTATTGTGCTGGATCAGGTGATTAATCCTGACTACAGAGGAAGACTTGGAATGCTACTTTACAATGGAAATGAGGAAGAGTATGTCTGGAAGAGAGAAGACCTCTTAGAGTGTCTCTTATTATTACCATGTCCTGTAATTAATCCTGTAATTAATGTCAATGGAAAACCACAACAACCCAATCTAGGCAAGATGACTAATAGCCCAGACCCTTCAGTAATGAAGGTTTGAGTCACCCCACCAGGTTAAACAAACAAACAAACAAAAACATAAGTAGTGAGGTGCTTGCTAAGAGCAAAAAGAATATGGAATGAGTAGTGGAACAAGGTAGTCATAAATACCAGCTACAGTCATATGACCGGCTACAGCAATCAGTACTGCAACTGCCATAAGTATATCTTTCTTCTTTTATTATGAATATGTTTGTGTGCATGTACAGCAAACCTTGTTTTCTGACTTCTCTTATCCCCTTTTTCATGTGACGTAAGATGTATTGACTTTATATCATACTATTTAAGTATAATTAACTATGTAAACATCAAATATTTCAGCTATTGGATTCAAGAAGAGTAGGTGCCACCCAAAGACATTGCATCCTTTTTTGGAGAAATAGTTAATGTGTTTTTGATTGTATACAGGATAGTTGTATCATGTTAGGCCAGAAGTATGACCTTGTTACTGTCTTTAATTGGAGATTAGAAATGGTTTAAGGAGATGCACAAAGGTGCCATGTTGACAAGGGGTGGACTCATGATGGTTAATTTTATGTGTTAATTTGATTGGGCCACAGTGCCCGGATTTTTGGTCAAATATTTTCCTAAATGTTTCTGTGAGGGTGTTTGTGGCTTTGAGTAAAGCATATTGGTTTCCATGATGTGAATGGGCCATATCCAGTCAACTGAAGGCCTGATAGAATAAAAAGACTAACCTCTTCCAAGCAAAAAAGTAATTCTGCAAGCAGATGACCTTCAGACTTGAACTGTACCATTGGCACGCCTCCCTGGGTCTCCAGCCTGCCAGATCACCCAGAAGACTTTGGATTTGCCAGCCTTCATAAATGTATGAGCCAACTCCTCACAACAAATTTTTCTCTGCATATATATTTATCCAATTTGTTATTTTTCTCTGGAGAACTCTAACTAATAAGTATGACTATAATTCAATTTAGGTACCCCTTATTTATTTCACATTGAATCCTACATTCCGCTATGTTCAGTCTCTCTAAATCCTTTTACATAAAGATTCTAATTTGCATTTAAAATATTTCTAAATGCTCTCTGAATAAAGTCCAAGAAAATTTATACCAAGGTCAAAGTCTAATTAAAGAAACAAGTCATGTCATATAATACAAGTTAATTCAATTGTATTCTTTTTTATTTTCCTACTTTTAAATTGAAAAAAAATGTCCTTGAGAGTTTGGCTCAAGCTAGAGAATTCTAAACCCTCAGAAAAAAAGAAAAAATATATAATCTTTATTTCTTCCTTCTATCTTTGTTTTTCTATGTGAAATTGATGCTGTCTTTGAGCTTTGCCCAGTAGAAACCTGGTATATTCCATTTGTTGTTAGACAATATGTTGTTTAATTTCCACATATTTGTGAATTTTCCAATTTTCTTCCTCCTACTGATTCTAGTTTCACATCATTGTGATCAGAAAATATTACTTCAATCTTCTTAAATTTGTTAAGATTTGTTTTGTGGCCTAGCATATGATCTATCCTGGAGAATGCTCCATGTGTGTTTGAGAAGACTGTGCATTCTGCTACTATTGGGTGAAATGTTCTGTATATGTATTTGAGTTTATTTTGTCTTCAGCGTAGTTTAAATATGATGTTTGTTTATTGATTTTCTGTCTGGATAGTTTATCCATTGTTGAAAGTGGTAATTAAGTCCCCTATTATTGTTTTATTGCTGTCTATTTCTTCCTTAAGATCTATAGAATTTGCCATATGTATTTAGGTGCTCTGATTTGGGTGCATATATATTTACAATTGTTATAACCTCTTGATAAATTGACCCTTTTATCATTATATGACCTCCCTTGTCTCTTGCTATGGTTTTTGAATTAAAGTCTATTTGTCTAAGTATACACAAATATACTCTGCTCTCTTTTGCTTTCCATTTGCAGAGAATATGTTTTTCCATCCCTTTACTTTCAGTCTGTGCATCCTTAAAACTGAAGAGAATATCTTGTAGCCAACAAATATTTGGATATTATAAAAATCCTTTTAGGCACCATATGTCTTTTGATTACACCCATTAAATTTAAAGTTACTATTGATGGGTTAAAAACATTCTACTGCCATTTTGTTAATTGTTTTCTGGTTACTTTGTAAATCATTCTTTTCTTCCTCTCTTGCTATATTCCTTTGTGATTTAATAATTTTATGTGATGCTTTGCTTTGAATTTTTCTCTTTTTTATATATCTACTATAGGTTTCTGATTTGTGGTTACCATAATACTTATATGAAACATCTTATAGTCATAACAGTCTATTTAAGCTGATAACATTGATTGCATATAAAAACTCTACATCTTATTTCCTCTTCACAATTTGTTTCCAATGTCACAATTTACATCTTTTTATAATGTGTCTACACTAACAAATTACTGTCGCTATAGTTATTTTTAATACTTTTGTCTTCCAATCTTTTTACTAGAACTTTAAGTTATCTACACACCACCTTACAGTGTTAGAATATTCTGAGGTGGAAATGGTGGCTCATACTTGGAATCCCAGAACTTTGGGAAGCCAAGGGTGGAGGATCACTTGAGCCCAGGAGTTTGAGACAAGTCTGTGCAATGGTAAGACCCTATCTCTACACTAATAATAATAATAACAATAATAATAACAAAATTAAGCCAGGCATGGTGGCACCCCTATAGGCCTAGCTACTTGGGAGGGTCTCTTGAGTCTAGGAAGTCAAGTCTTCAGGGAGCTATGATGGTGCCACTTCACTCCAGTCTGGGTGACAGAGTAAGACCCTGTCTCAAAACAAAAGAACATTCTGAATTTGATGGGGTAATTACCTTTATTGGTGAGTTTTAGACTTTTATATGTTTTCATTTTACTAATAGGTGTCCTTTGATTTCATATTGAAGAACTCCCTTTGGCATTTGTTGGAAGGCAGATCTAGTGGTGATGAACTCCCTCAACTTTGTCTTGGAAAGCCTTTATCGTACTTTCATATCTGCAGGTCAGCTTTGCCAAGCAAAATATTCTTGGTTGAGAGGTTTTTTTTATTTCAGAACTTTGACTATAGTATCCTTCTCCCCCATTTTTTGCAAGGTTTCTGCTGAGAAATCTGTTGATAGCCTCAGGGAGTTTCCCTTGTAGGTGACAAACCTCTTTTCTCTTGCTGCTTTCAAAATTATATTTTTATGTTTGCTTTTGTCAGTGTGATTATAATATGTCTCCCTGTAGCTTCCTTTGAGTTGAACCTGTATGAAGATCTTTGAGTTTAATGAATCTGGATGTTCATATCTCTCTCCAGATCTGGGGAGTTTTCTGGGGAGTTTTCAGCTATTGTTTTCTTAAATATTCATACCTATTACAATAAAAGCACTCATGCCACACCTCTTCTTTACTCTTACAGGGAATTCTTAAGATTGTATTCTCTCAGTTCTGCAAAGCCAGGCCAGGTGCTGAGAACCTCCTGTTTGTCTTCTCCGGGAGCAGTTCCCTAAAATACTCAAGATTCTGTGCCTTCTTCCAATTCTGCAGAGTTGAGCCAGCTGCCAGCATGAGACACTTGTACTTGTCATCCATAACGGCTTGCTCAGAGAGCTGTCCTATGGGGGGATGAAGCACAGAGAGTGTTTGGGGTGTCCATGGGTCAGCTAGGGGGAGGAGGTCCAAGGATGAGGTATCCTGAGAAGCTCATGGGCAGGCTTCCTGATGCAGTCCACAGAGAGAATTCCCTTCCTTGCCTCCATCTTCACCCCATCATTCAGCTGGGCTGATCACCTAAGAGTTCTAGGAAAGGCAAGAAAAAGTACATCTCTTGGACAGTATCCAGCATGGCTGGAGAAGCTAGGTTCTCACCCATTACACTCTCACTTTCTCTTGGGGGAGAAATCATGGGCTGAGGAGGTCTCTCTTGGCACTAACTTATACCACCTTGGGTGGGTGATGCAGGTAAAGTGCAACTGTTTTTCTTACCCACTTCATGCATCTTGGACTTTTTGCTCTAACAGTGTGTAGCAACTTCTCTGCTGAACTCCCAGACTCCCACAGAGTTACTCTCACCCGTGGGTAGTTGACAAAAATTGATTCTTTACAGGGGAGAGATGTTAGAAAACTCCTATTCTGCCATCTTGCTCTAGTGAAGAAATTTGTGGCTCAAAAATGTGAACTTATGGTTCACAGGCCCTTACTCCTCAACACTACTACTTAGATAAAATTATCAGAGTGAAAAAAATAAGTAAAATAAAGTCATAACAATAAACAGAAGGCAGATTTCAACATTTCTGAGAAAAAAAAGAAAACAGATATAAGCATCTTTATGGAGGTGAAAACTCTTTCCCAGAGTTTCTTCAGGAATAATAATAACAAATCTATGCATTGAAACCTGGAAGGGATCTGGGCTTAGAGTTAGTAGGTTTGAGGGAAGGCAGGGATAAGAAGGGCAACTTAACACAGTGCTTTTGCGAACTGCATTTGGAGCAGCTGAACCAACAGAAGTCTTCTCCATCCCCTTCTCTTTTCTCACAGAAGTACAACAGGTATTTGTACTCAAGCAGTGTGGAATAATTTGTACTCAAGCAGTGTGGGAAGCCTTTTCTTAAATAATTAAAAGAACTCTCTGGGGAAAGCAAAGATTCCCATTCCCCATAATAAAGCCCTCTTCATTCTGGTATTTCTGGAGCTCTTTATTCTAAAAACCCTCTTCCCCCACCTACTGTTCTTAAAGTGAAATCTATATGGTGATGTGTTTCTCACTCTCCATACATAGTTCCCACCCATGTCAGAAACCCTCCATTTACACAGTAGAGGAAACCACACCAGCTTCTTGGTCTTTCATTCTTTTCTAGGATCCTACTACATAGAACCAACAGGAGAATGAGGAAAATGTGCAACGTATAAAGACAAAAACAAACAGAAAAACTGATGTTGAATAAAGCAGAGATAATTCAGGGAATAGAAGAAAATCTTCCAAAAATTGTGGAGAAAAAGAGAAAAAATGTCATTCTATAACTAAAATAAGAAAATGTTTCTATAAAAAAATGGCCAATGAGAGAACAAGAAAGAGCTCTTAGCAGTGAAAAATACCATTGCCATATTGCCAAACTAGAACATTCAAAAGAAAGACTGGAAAATTAAGTGCAAAAAATTTTCCAAGAAGTAGCAAAATGAGAAAGTGATAGGTAATATGAGGAAACAGATATAGGATTTGGCAAGAAGTTCCAAACACTGACTAAGGGAAGCCCCAGAGGAGAAACCTGCCCAGCAGAGACCATGGTACCTGCAGCAAGTCTCAGGGACCCTGAAGGCAGAGCTCAGAAGGGGCAAGCATAAGCGGGTGTGGCTCCACACAGTCCTGCTTTTCTCCTAAGTAGAAAACAAGCCACCTACTCAAAATTGAGACTTCTCTCCTCTTTTTCTCAAGGCCCCAACCCAAAGGGGTCTGGAGGGCCTCAGCCCTCCTGTTCTGCCATCTGGGATTTGTGCCTAGCCTCCCTTCCCATGCTTGCAGGGCAGGTCCCCAGGTGGCACTGGATAAGCCCCTGTTTATTACAATTTTAAAAAGGGAGAATAGCAAAGTGAAGGGGGGATATTTTTTTCAGAGAAAGAATAGACAGAAATACTCCAGAGCTAAAGAATACCACCTTCTTCACATTAAAATAGATTCTGAATAGAAATGGAAGACTATAGATACATTTTAAAGACATTTTAGAGCATCAAGGATAAAGTGAATATTTCAAAAAGAAAATACGAATTATTCCAAAGTGAGAAGAACTAGGTAGGAATTATATTTCCTGTCAGCAATAAAATATGATAAAAAGAAAGTAAGGGAATATTTTCAAAATTCTGAGAAAAAAATGTTCAGTTAAATTCTATAGCAAGTCAATTCAGTAATCAAGTGGCATGGCATTTGATTGCCATTGTTAGAATTGACTCAGAAAGCTTACTTCCTATCCACCTTTTTGTAAAAGGTACTTGAGAATTTACTCTAGCCAAACAAGAAAATACTGCAGAAAATGAAAAGATACATTATGCAAGGAAACTGAAATTAAATGGGAAGACTAAGGAAGGAAAGACCAATATGACAAGAGACCTAGAGAACTATCAGTCTATTCTGAAGAGGAAGTGAGAGGACTCTGAGAGAGAGGACTCCACGAAAAAAAAAAAAAAAAAGGATGCTACAAAATATGACTGAGAGCCTGGAAAAAATTAAACATATGACAAAGGTAAATGCAAGGAAAAAAATAAACATTAATGTGTTAGTCTGCTTTCACACTACTGATAAAGACATACCTGAGACTGGACAATTTAAGAAAGAAAGAGATTTAATTGGATTCACAGTTCCACATGGCTGGGAAGGCCTCACAATCACGACAAAAGGCAAGGAGGAGCAAGTCACATCTTACGAGCATGGCGGCAGGCAAAGAGAGCTTGTGCAGGAAAACTCCCCCTTATAATACCGTCAGATCTCATGAGATTTATTCACTATTGTGAGAACAGCATGGGAAAGACCCACCCCCATAATTCAATCATCTCCCACCAGGTCCCTCCCATAACACATGGGAATTATGGAAGCTACAAGATGAGATTTGGGTGAGGACACAGAGCTAAACCATATCAATTAGAAACACCAGGGGAAAATAAAAATAAAATAATATTTAAAAGATACTATTAAAAAGTCACAGTCCAAATGTGAAGCAAAATTAAAGTGCAGCATTATTTTAAATAATTAGGATCATATCTGTGATGGTTAATTTTATGTGTCAACGTGACTGGGCCATGGGAGGCCCAGATATTTGATCAAACACTCTGGGTATATTTGTGAGGGTGTTTTTGGATGAGATTAACATTTGAACAGGAAGACTGAGTACAGCAGTTTTCTCTTCCTCACAGGAGTGGGCATTCAGTTGAAGGCCTGAATTAGAACAAGGAGTCTGGCCCTCCCATGAATAAGAGGAAACTCCTTCCACCTGGCTGTCTGAACTGGGACATTGGTCTTTACCAGCCTTGAGACTCGAATTGAAACATTGGCTCTTCTTGGGTCTCGAGCTTGCCAGACCTTAAGACCAGAATTTAAACTACTAGTTCTACTGAGTCTCCAACTTGTTGACCACAGATCTTGGAACTTGTCAGCTTCAATAATCATATGAGCCAATTCCTTATAGTTAATACACATATATAGATATATATAACATATGCACACATACATTTATATGTATATTATATGAGTGTGTACATATATGCACATTTATATGTATATTGTGTGTATATGTACACATACACAAGATGTGTATGTATGTATATAAATACACATACCTATCCACACACACAAAGAGAGATAGATTAGGTAGATAGATACGTGTGTGTGTATATATACATATATATATATATGTATATATACACACACACACACATCTTGGTTCTGTTCCTCTGGAGAACCTGGTTAATACAATATCTTTGCAATAGAAGAGAAGAAATGAAATCTTAGCATCCCCTAGTCACAATCGAATTTTCTTTAAATTGTGATAATATTATTTTATATATCTTTTTTCCAGCATTAGAATTAATGCATGGACAAAATATGGAAGAATTGGGTGTGGTTTCTGAACAGACTGCAAGTTTTAATAACCTTGATAACATAAAACCAAAACCCTGATTGAAATAAGTAGATCATAAAGAGAGGAGATCTACAAATTTTGTAATAATTGCACAAAACTACAATTCTGAAATCTAGTTTTCTACCTTTTATTTATTTTCTTCTTTCTTTGGAATAAAAAGTCATGCTGATTCTTACTCAGAGATTGAATTTCTACTTGTGTTCCCCTCTACTCGTTGGAGAGACAAATGAAGAGGAATATTGATATTTTTATTTCACATAGTGGGCAGTCAAGTCCAGTCACCCTGTTGCAAGTAAAAAAAAAAAAAAAGGAATTAAGGTTACTTTTGCAAACTACAAAGTTAAAGAATTGAGGAACTAAAATTAGTACGACTATCAGACATGGGTGGGAGAACAGAGGCAAGGAACTATGAGATTAGTGAAGCCAAAGCCTCCTCTTTATTAATAGAAACCCAATAGATGTTATCTATTTTACACTTTTACCTAAGTTGATAATTATCTACTGATGAACATAATAATAGAGAGACCATCATATTTTCTGATTCACTGAGGTAAATGTCACAAGATGAAAGTAGACATTATAATAAGAGTTTTCCTCTAAGGTGTATGTTTGGAGAATAGGCATGAATAGACAAGAGTTTATTGCCTTTCATTATATAAAGAACTAAATAAGAAACCAACATTTTTGAAAATTTAAAACCAGTCAAGAGGAGAAAAGAAAATGAAAATGAATTGAAGAAATGAAAGAGCAAACCAAGAGTAAATGCACTTTTTAAAAAAATCATTGTTTCCTGGTGGAGCCAAGATGGCTAAATAGGAACAGCTCCAGTCTACAGCTCCCAGTGTGAGTGATGCAGAAGACGAGTGATTTCTGCATTTCCAACTGAGGTACCGGGTTCATCTCACTGGGGAGTGCCTGACAGTAGGTGCAGGACAGTGGGTGCAGCACACCGTGTGTGAGCCAAAGCAGGGCGAGGCATTTCCTCACCCAGGAAACACAAGGGGCCAGGGAATTCCCTTTCCTAGTCAAAGAAAGGGGTGACAGATGGCACCTGGAGAATTGGGTCACTCTCACCCTAATGCTGCACTTTTCCAATGGACTTAACAAATGGCACACCAGGAGATTATATCCCGCACATAGCTCAGAGGGTCCTACACCCACAGAGCCTCGCTCATTGGTAGCACAGCAGTCTGAGATCAAACTGCAAGGCAGTAGTGAGGCTGGGGGACGGGTGCCCGCCGTTGCTCAGGCTTGAGTAGGTAAACAAAGAAGCCAGGAAGCTCGAACTTGGTGTACTCCACCACAGCTCAAGGAGGCCTGCCTGCCTCTGTAGGCTCCACCTCTGGGGGCAGGGGACAGACAAACAAAAGACAGCAATAACCTCTGCAGATTTAAATGTCCCTGTCTGACAGCTTTGAAGAGAGTAGTGGTTCTCCCAGCAAGCAGCTTGAGATCTGAGAACAGGCAGACTGCTGCCTCAAGTGGGTCCCTGACCCCCGAGTGGCCTAACTGGGAGGCAACCCCAGTAGGAGCAGACTGACACCTCACACAGCCGGGTACTCCTCTGAGACAAAACTTCCAGAGGAATGATCAGACAGCAGCATTTGCTGTACACCAATATCCGCTGTTCTGCAGCCACCACTGATGATACACAGGCAAACAGGGTCTGGAGTGGACCTCCAGCAAACTCCAACAGACATGCAGCTGAGGGTCCTGACTCTTAGAAGGAAAACTAACAAACAGAAAGGACATCCACACCAAAAACCCATCTGTACGTCACCATCATCAAAGACCAAAGGCAGATAAAACCACAAAGATGGGGAAAAAACAGAGCAGAAAAACTGGAAACTCTAAAAATCAGAGCACCTCTCCTCTTCCAAAGGAACATAGTTCCTCACCAGTAATGGAACAAAGCTGGACAGAGAATGACTTTGATGAGTTGAGAGAGGAAGGCTTCAGAAGATCGAATTACTCTGAGCTAAAGGAGGAAGTTTGAACCAATGGCAAAGAAGTTAAAAACATTGAAAAAAAAATTAGATGAATGGATAACTAGAATAACCAATGCAGAGAAGTCCTTAAAGGACCTGATGGAGCTGAAAACCATGGCATGAGAACTACGTGACAAATGCACAAGCCTCAGTAACCGATGCGATCAACTGGAAGAAAGGGTATCAGTGATGGAAGATGAAATGAATGAAATGAAGTGTGAAGAGAAGTTTAGAGAAAAAAGAATAAAAAGAAATGAACAAAGCCCCCAAGAAATATGGGACTATGTGAAAAGACCAAATCTACATCTAATTGGTGTACCTGAAAGTGACGGGGAGAATGGAACCAAGTTGGAAAACACTCTGCAGGATATTATCCAGGAGAACTTCCCAAATCTAGCAAGGCAGGCCAACATTCAAATTCAGGAAATACAGAGAATACCACAAAGATACTCCTCAAGAAGAGCAACCCCAAGACACATAATTGTCAGATTCACCAAAGTTGAAATGAAGGAAACAATGTTAAGAGCAGCCAGATAGAAAGGTCGGGTTACCCTCAAAGGGAAGCCCATCAGACTAACAGATGATCTCTTGGCAGAAACTCTACAAGCCAGAAGAGAGTGGGGGCCAATACTCAACATTCTTAAAGAAAAGAATTTTCAACCCAGAATTTCATATCCAGCCAAACTAAGCTTCATAAGTGAAGGAGAAATCAAATCCTTTACAGACAAGCAAATGCTGAGAGATTTTGTCACCACCAGGCCTGCCCTAAAAGAGCTCCTGAAGGAAGCACTAAACATGGAAAGGAACAACTGGTACCAGCCACTGCAAAAACATGCCAAATTGTAAAGACCATCAAGGCTACGAAGAAACTACATCAACTAATGAGCAAAATAACCAGCTAACATCATAATGACAGGATCAAATTCACACATAACAATACTAACCTTAAATGTAAATGGACTAAATGCTCCAATTAAAAGGCACAGACTGGAAAATTGGATAAAGAGTCAAGACCCATCAGTGTGCTGTATTCAGGAAACCCATCTCATGTGCAGAGACACATATAGGCTCAAAATAAAGGGATGGAGGATGATCTACCAAGCAAATGGAAAACAAAAAAAGGCAGGGGTTGCAATCCTATTCTCGGATAAAACAGACTTTAAACCAACAAAGCTCAAAAGAGACAAAGAAGGCCATTACATAATGGTAAAGGGATCAATTCAACAAGAAGAACTAACTATCCTAAATATATACGCACCCAATACAGGAGCACCCAGATTCATAAAGCAAGTCCTTAGTGACCTCCGAAGAGACATAGACTCCCACACAATAATAATGGGAGAGTTTAACACCCCACTGTCAACATTAGACAGATCAACAAGACAGAAAGTTAAAAAGGATATCCAGGAATTGAACTCAGCTCTGCACCAAGCAGACCTAATAGACATCTACAGAACCATCAGAGAATACTATAAACACCTCTATGCAAATAAACTAGGAAATCTAGAAGAAATGGATAAATTCCTCAACACATACACTCTCCCAAGACTAAACCAGGAAGAAGTTGAATCTCTGAATAGACCAATAACAGTCTCTGAAATTGAGGCAATAATTAATAGCTTACCAACCAAAAAAAGTCCAGGACCAGATGGATTCACAGCTGAATTCTACCAGAGGTACAAGGAGGAGCTGGTACCATTCCATCTGAAACTATTCCAATCGATAGAAAAAGAGGGAATCCTCCCTGACTCATTTTATGAGGCCAGCATCATCCTGATACCAAAGCCTGGCAGACACGACAAAAAAAGAGAATTTTAGACCAATATCCTTGATGAACATTGATGCAAAAATCCTCAATAAAATACTGGCAAACCAAATCCAGCAGCACATCAAAAAGCTTATCCACCATGATCAAGTGGGCTTCATACCTGGGATGCAAGGCTCGTTCAACATATGAATATCAATAAACGTAATCCAGCATATAAACACAACCAAAGACAAAAACCACATGATTATCTCAATAGATGCAGAAAAGGCCTTGACAAAATCCGACAGCCCTTCATGCTAAAAACTCTCAATAAATTAGGTATTGATGGGATGTATCTCAAAATAATAAGAGCTATCTATGACAAACCCACAGCTAATATCATACTGAATGGGCAAAAACTGGAAGCATTCCCCTTGAAAACTGGCACAAGACAGAGATGCCCTCTCTCACCACTCCTATTCAACATAGTGTTGGAAGTTCTGGCCAGGGCAACCACGCAGGAGAAGGAAATAAAGGGCGTTCAATTAGGAAAAGAGGAAGTCAAATTGTCCCTGTTTGCAGATGACATGATTGTATATCTAGAAAACCCCATTGTCTCAGCCCAAAATCTCCTTAAGCTGATAAGCAACTTCAACAAAGTCTCAGGATACAAAATCGATGTGCAAAAATCACAAGCGTTCTTATACACCAATAACAGACAAACAGAGAGCCAAATCATGAGTGAACTCCCATTCTCAATTGCTTCAAAGAGAATAAAATACCTAGGAATCCAACTTACAAGGGATGTGAAGGACCTCTTCAAGGAGAACTACAAACCACTGTTCAATGAAATAAAAGAGGATACAAACAAATGGAAGAACATTCCATGCTCATGGGTAGGAAGAATCAGTATCATGAAAATGGCCATACTGCCCAAGGTAATTTATAGATTCAATGCCATCCCCATCAAGCTACTAATGACTTTCTTCACAGAATTGGAAAAAAGTATGTTAAAGTTCATATGGAACCAAAAAAGAGCCTGCATCACCAAGTCAATCCTAAGCCAAAAGAACAAAGCTGGAGGCATCACGCTACCCGACTTCAAACTATACTACAAGGCTACAGTCACCAAAACAGCATGGTACTGGTACCAAAACAGAGATATAGACCAATGGAACAGAACAGAGCCCTCAGAAATAATGCCGCATATCTACAACCATCTGATCTTTGACAAACCTGACAAAAA
The DNA here is from genome assembly GCF_000001405.40 of Homo sapiens. Lineage (NCBI taxonomy): Eukaryota > Metazoa > Chordata > Mammalia > Primates > Hominidae > Homo > Homo sapiens. Next base: position 39,264,610 of record NC_000012.12, read on the forward strand.
CAAGCAATGGAGAAAGGATTCCCTATTTAATAAATGGTGCTGGGAAAACTGGCTAGCCATATGTAGAAAGCTGAAACTGGATCCCTTCCTTACACCTTATAAAAAAATTAATTCAAGATGGATTAAACACTTCCATGTTAGACCTAAAACCATAAAAACCCTAAAAGAAAACCTAGGCTTTACCATTCAGGACATAGGCTTGGGCAAGGACTTCATGTCTAAACACCAAAGCAATGGCAACAAAAGCCAAAATTGACAAATGGGGTCTAATTAAATTAAAGAGCTTCTGCACAGCAAAAGAAACTACCATCAGAGTGAACAGGCAACCTACAGAATGGGAGAAAATTTTTGCAACCTACTCATCTGACAAAGGGCTAATATCCAGAATCTGCAATGAACTCCAACAAATTTACAAGAAAAAAACAAACAACCCCATCAAAAAGTGAACAAAAGATATGAACAGACACTTCTCAAAAGAAGACATTTATGCAGCCAAAACACACATGAAAAAATGCTCATCATCACTGGCCATCAGAGAAATGCAAATCAAAACCACAATGAGATATCATCTCACACCCGTTAGAATGGCGATCATTAAAAAGTCAGGAAACAACAGGTGCTGAAGAGGATGTGGAGAAATAGGAACACTTTTACACTGTTGGTGGGACTGTAAACTAGTTCAACCATTGCGGAAGTCAGTGTGGCGATTCCTCAGTGATCTAGAACTAGAAATACCATTTGACTCAGCCATCTCATTACTGGGTATATACCCAAAGGACTATAAATCATGCTGCTATAAAGACACATGCACACGTATGTTTATTGCGGCACTATTCACAATAGCAAAGACTTGGAACCAACCCACATGTCCAACAATGATAGACTGGATTAAGAAAGTGTGGCACATATACACCATGGAATACTATGCAGCCATAAAAAAGGATGAGTTCATGTCCTTTGTAGGGACATGGATGAAGCTGGAAACCATCATTCTCAGCAAACTATCGCAAGGACAAAAAACCAAACACCACATGTTTTCACTCATAGGTGGGAACTGAACAATGAGAACACATGGACACAGGAAGGGGAACATTACACACAGGGGACTGTTGTGGGGTGGGGGGAGGGGCGAGGGATAGCATTAGGAGATATACCTAATGCTAAATGATGAGTTGATGGGTGCAGCACACCAACATGGCACATGTATACATATGTAACTAACCTGCACATTGTGCACATGTACCCTAAAACTTAAAGTATAATAATAATAAAAAAAGAAAGATAAAAAAAGTCATTGTTTCCTACGGGGTGGATGACACAGGGCTTTTGCATTTTAATGATAATTTCTTTAAGAGTTTCCTGCTGATTTCTGGTGATTGTTAGAAATATCAGTCTAAAATAGAAAATGGTGGCTGTGAAAATAAATCTTGCTTGCTTCAATTTCAATATATTTTAGGAACAAAGATGCAGGTTCTTTTTTTACTTGTAAGAACAAAATTCTTCTGCTCCATAGGATTATTGACAGCCTTTCTTCTACCATATGGACTTTATTTTATGCAGCAGCACGAAACTACAATTCTGAGGTCTAGTTTTCTACCTTTTATTTATTTTCTTCTTTCTTTCTTTGGGAAAAAGAAAACACATGCTGATTCTTAGTCAGAGATTGAATTTCTACTTGTGTTCCCCTCTACTCCTCGGAGAGCAGGTTTTTTATTTCCTCTGAGGGATGTAATGGATTTCTATTATCTAGAGCCATATTATCAAGCAGTATAGCACAACACACACAGATGGGGTTTTAGACATATTAAAAAAGTAAAAGAACAAACAAAAAAGATAAAAGTCAATTAAACTCTGCAATAAAAATATCATAGATCACAAAAGCAGTCTGGTCTTATTTTGTTATGCACCTTGATATTTCAGGGTTTAGAAAGTGACTTTTAATGACCAACATAAGCCAAAAGAAAAGTATACTCTGGCACAAGAGATTGAAAAGAGCAGTTATCAGTAAGCAATGGATTTTTTTTTAATTAGGTTTTTAATCAACCCAAGTGAAATCCTTCAATTGAACAAAGAAAAAAAATCACTTGAAAGTCTTGACCAGGCCAGGCGCAGTGGCTCACGCCTGTAATCCCAGCACTTTGGGAGGCCGAGGCAGGTGGATCACCTGAGGTCAGGATTTCGAGACCAGCCTGGCCAACATAGTGAAATCCCATCTCTACTATAAATATAAAAATTAGCCGGGCATGGTGGCAGGTGCCTGTAATCCCAGCTACTTTGGAGGCTGAGGCAGGAGAATCACCTGAACCCAGAAGGCAGAGATTGCAGTTGAGCTGAGATTGCCCCATTGCACTCCAGCCCTGGCAACAGAGCGAGACTCAATCTCAAAAAACAAACAAAGTCTTGACTAAGGAAAACATCCAACGAGCATAAGACAGAGTTTAAAGGACTAACACATTATTGAGAAGATGTTACTTATATGCTGACAAAACTGAAGGACAATCAAAGACTAAAATACTAAATCGAACACAATCAAACCTCAAAATTCCTGGGATGTGCAAGCATATTTCTGGAATATATGACAACGGATGGACCGACATGGGCACTGAAAGCACTGCACCTTGCTACAGGCACAAAATTGGAGAATGTGAGCAATTATAAAGTTCCACACAATTAAAGCTGAAAGATCACATCTTAGTAACATGTAGGAAATACTAAGGCCTTTGCACGTCTCTAGTGTTCTCTTATTCTATTCAGCAACTCTCTAGCTATTGCCCTAATTCCCCAGCTTGACTCACAAGCAAGACCTGCACGTTTCATCTCTACTCCACTTCTCTTCAAGATTCAGTTCATCATTGTACCCTAACAACCTCCACCCTCTCTCTTCTACGCTGCCTCTTGCTGGCCAAATCCAACAACCATATTTCAGCCCTTCTCTTTCTTAACATTTTTGTTCATTTGAGATTTTTAGATATTATGTCCTTGAAATTGAGTTTTCCTTCAAACAGTTGCTCTTTCACTGGCCCCTTGGACAAGGAATCATTTTTACTTTCAAGTCTTATTATTTTAGAAATACATTTTATTAGGCTATAGCTGCCATCGGTAGTGATTCCTCTGATAGATCTGGGCAAAGTAAGTTGAAAATCTTCTGGAAAAGATTCGCCATTTTAGATGCCATTAAGTATATTCTTGATTCCTGGGAAGAGGTCAAAATAGCAACATGAACACAAAGTTGGAAAAAGTTCATTCCAACCCTTATGGATGATTTTGAGGGCTTCAAGTCTTCAGCAAAGAAAAGAACTGCAGATGTGGTGAAATAGCAAGAGAACTAGAATTAGAAGTAGAGCCTGGAGATGTGACTGAACTGCTGAAATTTCATGATCAAACTTTAACAGATGAGGAGTTGCTTCATATGGATGAGCAAAGAAAGTGGTTTCTTGATATGGAATCTACTCCTTGTGAAGACACTGAACATCGCTGAAATCACAACAAAAGATTTAGATTACATAAACTTAGTTGATAAAGCAGTGGCAGGCTTTGAGAGGACTGACTCAGATTTTGAAAGAAGTTCTACTGTAGGCAAAATGTTATGAAACAGCATCACATGCTACAGAGAAATCTTTTGTTAAAGGAAAAGTCAATTGATGAGGCAAACTTCATTATTGTCTTATTTTAAGAAGTTACCACAGTCACCCCCATCTTCAGCAATCACCACCCTGATCAGTCAACAGCCATCAACATTGATGCAAGACCTTCCACAACCAAAAAGATTACAATTCACTGAAGGCTCAGATGATTGCGAGCATTTTTAGCAATGAAGTATTTTAAATTAACAGTTTACTTTTTTAGATATAATACTATTGCACGCTTAATAGACTAGTGTAGTCTACTACACTATACTGTTAATAGTAATGCTAATAAGTTCATAATGCTATTGCACACTTAATAGACTAGAGTTGTAAGTGTGCATAATGCTATTGCACACCTACTAAACCAGTGTTAACTAGTCTATTACACTATACTATTAATAGGCAAGTGTAAACATAAGTTTTGTATGCACTGGGAAAACTCAAAAACTTTGTGTGACTCACTTTATTGTGATATTCGCTTTATTACAATGGTCTGGAACCAACCCCATGATATCTCCAAGTTATGCCTGTCTAGCAGTTATCACAATTTGTATTTATTGTATTTGTGTGCTAGCTATAGTGCTTAGCTATTTCTTGTGTACTATCTGCCTGCAAGTTTCATGAGCTTGGAGAACAATTTGTATTCCCAGGAACAAGCACAAGGCCTGGCATACCAAAGAAAAATATGTGTGTTTGTTGAAAGAATGAATAGGAGCCATTTGCAGATGACTCCCCAGTACATAACCCTAATCTGACTTCTTCTCTGAGCTATCGAATTCACCAAACTGGCTCTGAGGTTTTAATTTGAATTTCCCACAGATACTCAAACTCAATGTATGGAAAAAGAACTCCCAGTATTGGTTTGGAAGCCAGCATTGCCTCCTCATTTCCTGTTTCAGTGACCGAAAAGATCATTCACCTAGTCTTCCAAATCAGAAAAATAAATGTCACTCGAAACCCCGTTGTCTTCAGTATCTATATCCCAGTGGTACCAAATCTTGTCGATTCTTCTCCTAAATGCCCCTCAGCTTTATCCTTGTTGCCTTTCAGCTTCTCAATTTTTATTTCAAAAGCTTCAAATTACTCTTCTTGACTCTATCCTATCTCCTCCAATCTATTCCGCAAATTGTTTCCAAACTAATCCTTCCAAAAAACAAAACTGACCCCATCGGTCACCCTTTTAAGATCTCATATGGTCCCTTTCATCTCCCATGGGGATTGGAAAGCAATGCAGTCTATGTTTACTTTGGCCCATACATTTGTTAAGTAAATTTGAATTTGTTTCCAACATTGAAATTTGGAATATTTTGTGCATAAACGCATATTTCTAGCTCCACCTAAAAAACCCAAAGTTCTGGTGACACTGGACACAAATTTCCACATAGCAACAAGATGGAGCTGAATACCACCTACTTCCACCACCTAGTTCCTGTGGACTGGGACTGTCTGGAGCCGCATTTTATGACACGCCACCCAGCTCGCATTTCATTTGGGCTATATGACTGGATCCACTTGCCTGGAGGGAAAGCTGCAAACACCAAAACATGGCATATCAAGCCTTCTGCACGTGCTTCTGCCAGGCAGCCTTTTTGGAATCCTGCCCTTCTACACAGCCCCTCACTTTCCAATACCCATTCCCCTCTGGCCTCACACAGTATACTTTAGTCAGGTCAAAATATTCGCACTTTCCCAATCACACCACAATCTCCAGTTTTCCTCCAGTTACACATGCTATTCCCTCTATCAGGAATGCCCTCGAGCCGCTTTAAACTCCCCTTCATGCATCCAAGGAGAGACAGATCTTGATGGGCCTACAGGCTCAATTCCTCCCTTTTGGGAAGACTAGCAGAGAGCTGGCTCAGCAGGTGTCTTGACAACCCTCAGCGAAACGGGGGTTCTAGTAGCAGAGCATCTAGCAATCCTGCCCTAACAAGAAATGATGGGTAGCTAGATATGGGTATTTACAGTGTGCCTTCCACAGGGATACTTCTTTTACCTGGTGGATGGCCTAACGCCTAGTTGTCCAACCCATGACCAGGGGGTTCCTTCCCATGGGAAACTTAGTTATAATAGCAGACACCCTTTTGGGTCTTGTCTGACCCCTGCCTGACCATGGCTCAGGCTGAGCCCAACCCTGTGTCTCCCCCATCCACACCCCATCCCTCATCCCAGAGAAAAGCTAGCTGGGGCAGTCCCTCATTCTTCAGATGGAAGGTGCAAATTTAATACACCACCCCAAAAGGAGACGAGTTGAACGATTTCGCTTACGGATCCTGGGTGAAGAGAACATAGTGAGTCTGGAGGGCAGTTCTCTTTCTCCAGTTCATGTGAGGCAGGAATGAAGTCAGGCAAAGAGAGTGAGTGAGTGAGTGAGTGAGAGAGAGAGAGAGAGAAAGAGAGAGAGGCAGCATATATAAAGGAAATATAAGGGAATAGATTGTGAGTCACTGTGAGTTAATGGGAAAATACCTAAATGGGCCATTTAAATGGCAGGAAAGTTGGGAGCTCCATCTGCTAGGCAAGAGAGATACCTCAAATTTCTTATCTCTGGCCACCCTTCTGGAGCCATGTGTGTTTGGTGTAAACTGGAAATGGTGTCAAGGGTGACAGACCCCTGCTTCTGATATGATAAAGTTAAATTAATATTCAAAATGGATGCAACGACAACATAAAATTATAAGAAGTCTCTATAGCAAGTCAGAGTTAGCTCAAAACAAATGGAACAAATGGGATGACACCAACAGCTAGGCTTTGGAGTTTCCCCCTTTCTAACAATGTCATTTCCCCACTCATTGTTATATAGTCACAGGTATATCCTTCATTTCTCTGATCCTATAAATATGTAGAGAGTTACATATCCTGTAAATATGTAGGGCCCCTTTCAACTAAAACATTGACAATTGTGTACCCAGCCTAAAATTGGCTTAAGCTGTAGAACTATGAGAAAGTAGGGGATTGCATTGCTCTATTAATTTTCTGCTTGTAACTCTTCCCCCAATATACCCTTTAAACATCTGCTCCATGCAGTGCTAGAGTGTATGTCATGCCTTCAATTTCCTGTCTAAGCCTTCCTTGGTTTATAGAGCCTTTCCTGACTTCCCCAGCAAGACTCAGATCTTTGTTCCTCCCCCAACTTCAGCACCTTGCTCATTCCCTTAGAGTTAGCCCAACACATAAAGGATTTATCAACTCTATTATAATTCCTCCTGTGAGTTTATATTTTATTCATCTTTCTAACACCACACCAGGTACAAAGTAAAAGCTCAATAAATGTTCACATGAATTAGCTGAATAATATCAATGGGGTCATTCAGGTAGCTTCTTATGGTAGTTATTCATGAGACAAAGCAGTACATCTTCCCATCTAATTCAATAAGATCTGAAATAAATAACATTAAGTTTCATTTTTCTGCCTTCCTTAGAATATTTTTTTGTATTATTTTTTTATATAACAATTTTATGGAATGGTTTTGAAAACTAATTTCAATAAGATGTCCATAAGGTGCTTACCATAGTGCTTAGCAACATGTGAGTATTCGGGAAAAGGTCAGTGTACAAGGGAAGCATCATTTGCCATGGTTGAAAACAAAGGTTTTGGAATTAAACAAGATTTCAATCCTGTAGCCAAAATAGCATGTCACACAGCATAGGTACTGAATAAGTATCTGTTGAATGAATGAATAAATTCATAAGTGAATGAGAAATCCTGGCCCTGCCCATTATTCCTAGGTTGTCTCCAAGCCCTTGAAATTGCAGCTCTCTCCACCTAAAACAATCTTCCCCAGATATTTGCCTAGTTCTGTCACTTCTCTAGGTCTCTGTTCAAATGTTCTCTTATTGAGAGGCCTTCTCTGAAGTACCCAGATGAAAGGGAACCCTGGCACTTTCTTTTCCCCTTATCCTACCTTCCCTCTTCAATATATGATCATCTGTAATGCTACACAGTTAGTTGTCTTTTGGCTGCAACATTAGCTCAAGAGAGCAGAAATTTGCTTTGTTTGCTTCTGCACATTCACCCAGAAAAATGTCTGGGTGAATGAATCTTGAAGAATCTTGGCCTATTGCCTCTTCCTCATTTGTAAAATAATGGGGTAGAAATGATACGCTAATGCCTTCCTAGATGAAACCTTATATGATCCCTTTCTCCCAATTTTTTGCCCACTGTATACACTAATAAACCTCCTTCTTTGATAAATACCTTCAAATTCTGTGCTGCCAGGTAAAATTGGTCATGCTGAAAACCTTTTTTTTTGTCCACGGTTGTTTGGCACTGTCTAGATGGCAGCTAAGTGGTAATGAATCTGTATTTCTATAAAATTTAGAATGTTATAGTTGTGATGGATCCAAAAGCTCGCCTGGATCAACTGACTCATTTTACAGATACGAACTTTTAAGACCAGAGGGGCCAAGTGATTTAGTCAAGATTCCTCAAAGTTAGTGCCAGACCCTCCAGATTGGAGGGTCCTAATCAGCACCTATTACAGTAAGCCATGGTTCTACTGTAATTAAAAGGTGGGCACCAGGATTCAAATACCTTCTAACCCTGAGTCCATTCCTTTTTCTACCATAAAGCCCTGCTCCTCCAGTCCTGCTAAGAGCCATGCGCATTAAACTTACCCAGTGGAAACACAGTTATATTCTTCCAGCAGCCAAATCTCTTCTGACAAGCTAAGGTGGAATTAGCGACAAGAAGGCAGAGCTTGAACTCATTAAGGGTCTGAGCTCTTCAGAAGCAATACTCTATCCCTTGTCATCTGTTCTGCAGAATTTGCTCCTGTGGTTTCATGGGGCACATAATTCTTGGCAAATCAAATTCCTTGAACCTCCTAAGGCTGCTGGACAGGAGCTTCAAGAATTATGAGTTTTCAGAGTCTGAAGATAGCTATTCAATTTAACCAACTGTAGCAACTGATTTAATTAAGTAGTCACTCTGGTTTAAGGCTCTGCACTTCTTCAGATGCTATTTAACGATTCTGTCTTCCGCTTGAATTTGACTCCAAATCCACCCTAATATCCATAGGCAGTTAGAATTAATCAGTGCTTCCCACTCAAACCCACTCCAAGTCCAAAAAAAAAAAAAGAATGATTAATTTGTCTAGCTGCAGTCACCAACGTTGTAGAGGACATCACTGCCCCCTGGTGGAAATACTAAAAACTGTTCTGGGACTGTTCCCAGAAAGATCAAAATCTATACAGAAAAAACTAACTTGTTAGTAATCTGCACATTGAAAGGTCATGACGTCCCAGTGACCATGTTATTATCCTACTCTCTTTTCCCCTCCTTAATTTCTCAATTCGTAGCTCAAGTTGCTTCAGGCATCTACAACGCATCATCAGATGGTCTCCCAGTGACACTGGAATACGAAATTTCCTCAGTGGATGTGCATTACCAAAACACCAGTGACCACTTCAGGACAAATCAAAAGGTTGTCTTCATGTAGCATAACGTTGTCTAAATTTAGGAGAGCTTTAGTTCATGCAGCTACTGAAAAATCTGGCTTCTGTGCATACTTGGCAAATTTGCAAATCACCTCTTAATTCTTCCCCAGTTTTTTTTTTTTTTTTTTTTTTGTGGGTGGAGGAGGATTTCCCCAAATTTAGGGAAAAAAAAGCCTAGGTTTTTTTTTTTCTGTTGAAAAAATGGAATGAATGAGGTGAGTGAGCCTCAGGGCCTTTTATTTTCCCCTGCCAGTGTAAGACAGAGAAAACAGTGTAGGAGCTGCTGTCATAAAAAAAAGCCTTCCCCAATGACTCCTGTTTACTCTTTGGAACTCCAAGAGTTTATTTTCTAAACCATGGATGCTAATCCTGGATGCTCATCAAGATCATCTGAAAAGTTTGCCATTTTGTTCTTACTGCTATTGTGTTATATTATTGTTTGATACAGATTCATAATTACTGAATTGTTATTTCAGAGAATGGGGAACCAAATTGTTTTCATGAATGAATGAAGTCTCTAAGTAAACCCTAATCTTCTTAGAACAATATTTCCTTCATAACTGACTTTATACAAATTAATTCTTTTCTCTTTCCCAATTGCCACCACTTTCATTCATACACCAGCATCATCCATGAGCTATTGCAATGGGCATAATATATTATGGCACACAGGAGATTGTCTTCCCATCCATCCTCAACACCACTTTCAGAATCATATTTTTAGACACCAGATAGATCCTATTATTTCCCTAAATAAAAGCTTTCAGTGGCTCTTCATTAAACATAAGATAAAATTCATATTCCTTAGCATGACATACAAAAGCTATGTTTCAATACCTACAACTAATATATCAATCAAAAAACGTTTTTTAAGTCTATGCTTCGGCCATGACCAAAAACTTATAGTTCCCCCAAATATGCCATACCATTTCAAGCCTCTTAACCTTTGCCTAAAGCCCTGCTTAGACTGCTTTTTCCCCATGTCTACCCATTTCTACCCATTTCTGCAGGACATTTATTTTTCCAGACTCGCAATTTCCCTCTTTTTAAAGCACTTTCCTAACCTCTTTCTTCTTCCCATGTAGAACTGACCATAGTACTTATAACACTTGACTGTACTCGCTAGTCCACCTCCCTCTGATAATTAGAATGGCCATAAGGGTGAGAGAATTATGCCTGAATGATTTTTGTATCTAGAAAAAATTACTGTTGAATGAATGAGTGAAGGAATGAATAAAAATGCCCAACACATACGCAAGTGCATATTTGACTCAGTTTACATTTCTCCATTGCCAAACTGATGGGAAAAAAAGTGTAAACTCATATGATTGAGCAGACATGATTAAAAACTTAGCACCCAAGAGCCCTTCCTCAGGCAGAAGGTGAAATGAGTAGCTTCATCTGACAGGTCACAATAGCCCCACCCACAGCTGGGAGAAATCAGCTCACATTGAAGGAGCTAGGTCCTGGGGTAGCCACTGCCCCTTTCCCCTGGATTCTGTAAGAGCTTGATTCGCCCGTACTATAATGTATATTTAATTATATTACTTAATAAATCGTCAGCATTTACTTTACTTGAATCATGATTTTACTTGCATGAGTACATCAACTTGATATGTAAGCCTATACTTCTCTAATACGAAATAGTTAAGAATCAAAAAAAAAGTTTTTGAGCACTCAATTTAATATAAAACATTAATAATAAATAAACATTGCCCTTCCAGGTTTTTAAACCCATGGAAACATAATGCATCTATATTAACGTGAAACTTCATGCATGTATAATCATTATTAAATAAGTAGATTCAGTTTTCATCCTTTAGACAGTCTTTAGCAGTGTAGTATATGACAATAAATGAAAAGTGTATCAATCAAAGTTTCATAGTCCTCTCTCTGCATAAAGAAATATGAGGGAGGAAAATGAAAACTAAATAGATTGGCAGGCAGAAAATGCTGATACTGTCCTTCATCCACATTTGGAATAGTTCTCTGGTCTCTCTCTTCCTAAAATAACCTATGCAGTGAGTCAAATAATTTCTTTCTTCTTTGGTAAAACTAGACCTAAATTTCAGTTTACAAAGAAAGAAAAGTGAAAATAGGGAAGGAAGGAAAGAAAGATGCCCAACTGCCTGACTTTGAATTAATTGCAATCCTTTTAATAAAAAATAAATAAATAAATAATATTAAAAAAGCTGTTCCATCTTGACCACATCCTCTGTCAATCTGCAGAACTACCCAGTGAAGTAGGGTTGTTCATACAGCTACGGAGCTGAGACTCTAGGCCTCTACAGATCCATTGACTAATTGCCCTAAGGGCTCAGGTCAGACCTAATTTCCCCTAATTCCAGTGCTTTCCTCATTTCAAAAAAGCAATGTTTTATCTCTCATCTTTTTCGGTTAGTTTCTAGAGAATATTCTCAATTCCGACTTTATAATTGAGGAGATAATTGGAGGAGATAATTTAAGATTACCACTGCTTACAACTGTGCTGTCCAAGACAGTAGCCTCTAGCCATGTGTGGCTGCTGAGCACTTGAAATGTGGTTAGTGCAACTGAGGAATTTAGTTTCAGATTTTTTTAAATTTTAATTAAACTAAATTTAAGCTGTAACACAAACTCAGTTCCACCAATGGAAAACTTTTAAGTATGTTTGGATCAACTTGTGCATATGAATTTTTCCACTCTAAATTTTATGAACTCTAAATTCATTTAAAAATATATCTAATGAAAAGCTAACATCTGAATTGAGATGAGATATGCTGTCAGTATAAATACATGCTAGATTTAGAAGGCTTAGTACAAAAAAGAATGCAAAAAATCTCATGGATAATTTCTATGTTGATTACATGCTGAAATAATATTTTGGAAACATTGTGTTAAGTAAAATGTATTAAAATTGATTTTACCTATTTCGTTTTACCTTTTTCAATGTAGCTACTCAAAAATTTTTAATTTTTTATGTGACTCATATCATATTACTATTAGACAGTATTGGCTTAGAAGAAATCTCTATCAGTGAATGAGTTGAACCAGATCTCTCTCTCTTCACCTCCCTCCCTACCTGACCCCACCTAGCAAGTAACAGCCTAGGAGAGCTGGCCATTCAAGGATCTATCTGACTTCCATAATCAGCCTGTTTAGCTTTCTCATGCCTCAGTTTCCTCATTAGCATCAGATTTTCTTGAGGCATATTTACATATACAGTTAAGGTAATTATCTAAGTATCAGAGCTACAAGAGGAAAGGAAATAAGATGTCTAAATTAAAACAGCCAGCTCTGATAAAGGAAAAAAATAATAGGGTTTCAAAATTCAAAACCTAAAGGTATCTCTTGCTATATTTCCCCACAGATACAATAATGCAATGGCTACATCAGTTTTAGCAGCAGGACAAAACAGGTATTCTCAGATGTTAACATGAATAAGGTGTTTTCTGAAAGATTTTATGCAAAAAACCATATATATATATATGAGACTATAAAACCCTAAATTAATATGAGTTTAGCTTACATACAGAGGTGCCATTTTATCACTCTAGTAATCTTATGTCATAACCTTTGTTAAATAGCAAAATACTGGCATTCTTTATTTCCTTCAAAAACAAAAAGACTACAAAATAGGCATAATTGGTTGATGTCCCTATGGGTCTAATGGGTCTATTTTGGTTCCAATAAGAAGAAAAAATTGATAGGAATATATGTTTTCCTTTTAGTGCTGGCCAACTCTCAAAAGTACTGAATTTTACAAATGAATGTCAAGTACATTGTTTAAGCAATATTAATCAAATTATATAACTGATAATTCCTGGCATGTTGACATTTTGATGATTTCATAAATCAAGATTTTATTGCTTTAGATTCCAAATAGGTCCCTGTTGTGTAAGATGAGATTGTAAAGTAACAACCTGTTTTTAAATTGTGGTTTAGTGAGAGTATTCTCACTTATGCAAAATGGTACAGATATTGCATCATTTTGTGCTCATATCCTTATTGGTCTGACTTACAGTAGGAAATCCAGGAAGAAAAGGTGGTATCAGTTCAGCACCCATGGGTATGGAGATGACTTGCGCCTGGTTTTCTAAGGCCCTAAGCCAGAGAGCTGTGGTTCCTCATTTCCCCAGATACATCACCAGCAATTTCTCTGTTGAGGTTTCTTCTCCCAGTTGGTCTGATCACCTGTCCTTGGCTCAAATCACAGTATCCTAAGAGAGTTAGGGTTAAATAATGTTTGACCTTGATCCACTGTAAGATATATATTTTACATATCAATTCTACCCAGATACAGATACACGTACATAAAGCACATGCTTCACCCCTGCCTCAAAAAAATTACCCTTAATCAGAAAGATGCTGTTTGATATTTTCTATACTATTATATAATATCAAATGTTCTACTATATATAGAGAAATAGGGGCTTCTGGCTTTCAATACAGCATGTCAGGAGAAAATGAACAGCTCTTCTTAGATCTGTCAGAGAAATGAGGTCGCAGGACAAACTGATGCCTCCAAAACTGGAGAAACAACAGGAGAATACAGAGAATTACAACTTACTAAAGCAGAAACTCACGGGCAGAAACCTCCTTGAGAACCAGTGGTAAAGTAGAAAAACCAAAGCCGTAATTGGTGAATATCTGGAG